>NC_000004.12:84678956-84830471 GCF_000001405.40 Homo sapiens
TTGGGGTGGGGGTGGCTAAGGGGGCCCTGCAGATGGGCTCTGGTCTGGCCCTCTGAATAGTTCACAAATATGAAGCCGTCTTTCTCATCTAGACTGAGCTGGTCGGACCAGCGTCTGGAGTCGTCAGAGCCACTGTCAGTACACCAGGCGGCTGTTGCGCGGCAGGAGGCTGCCCGGGGCCTGTGGCTGGTGCTGCTGGGTTGGCTTGGAGTGTCCTTAGGGTCCTGGCTGATGCTCTGCTCATCTGCTTCTGAATCACTGCTGTCCTCGTCTTGGGCTTCCTGCCCTGGGTGAAGCATTGAGAGAATTGGAACATACGGAACCATCAAAGTTACACCCAGCTTTGTTCTGCTAGTATTTTTTTTCTCCCAGTTATAAGCCTCTATAGACATAATATTTTAAGCTAAGTGTAACAAAAAAGAAAGTAAGTGCCAGGATTTTTGGCTAGAGTACAGAGAGCAAAGAAATAAAAAAGTCGAATTTCTGAAAGAGTTTATTAAAAACTTTGGCCAAAATCCTTAGCTTGGAATTCAATCTCTCACAATCTGGCCAGAATCTGCCTTTGCCGCACACTCCCTGCTGTGCTGCAGCTAGATGGTGTCACTCCAGCTCTCTCCCTGCAGACCTGCTCCTCCAAAGGTGAGCTTCTTCACATGCTGCTGGTGCCGCCTAGACCCATCTTTCCAATCTCTGTGGGTTCCGATGTCACCTAGCTTTCAAGGGACAGCTTAAACATTCTTGTCTCTGAATCACCCAATTCCTTCAGCTCAAAGTATTCTCCCCCTTTTCTGGACTCCTTTAACAGTTCTGTGCCTCCTGAGTTCTTGAAATTATCATTCTAAATGATTACTTTTGGATATTCTTCATATATATATATATATATATACACACACACACACACACACACACGTACGTGTGTATATATATATATATATGTATGTATGTATTTTTTGAGACAGAATCTTGCTGTGTCACCCAGGCTGGAGTGCAGTGGCATGATCTTGGCTCATTGCAACCTTTGCCTCCTGGGTTCAAGCGATTCTCCTGCCTCAGCCTTGGAAGTAGCTAGGACTACAGGCACCCACCACCACACCTGGCTAATTTTTGTATTTTTAGTAGAGACGGGGTTTCACTATGTTGGCCAGGCTGGTCTTGAACTCCTGACCTCATGATCCACCCACTTTGGCATCCGAAGGTGCTAGGATTACAGGCGTGGGCCACCACACCCAGCTATTTTTGGATATTCTTTCTACAAGATGGTAGAGAAAAGGGCCATTGCATATAGTGGTTAATGACTCAAAGATTAGTGAATTACCTTATTTTTAATTTTTATTTATGTATTTATTTTTACATACATGGATCTTGCTCTATCACCCAGGCTGGAGTGTAGTGGAGCGATCATAGCTCACTGCAGCCTCAACCTCCTGAGCCCAGGGAATCTGCCCGCCTCAGCCTTCTGAGTAGCTGGGACCACACGTGCATGCCACAACATCTGGCTAAAGATTAGTGAATTATTCTATGAAAGCCTTACTTTGGAATTTTGTTCTTCTTCCTCTTTTCACTGTTATTTTGCATTTCTTCACATCAACTCTCTACTCTCTTGCAATAAAGTCTACTGGAGGGAAAATGTATAAGAAACAAGTATACCTGGCCCTCCATTTCTGTGGGTTCCACATCCATGGATTCAATTAATCTCAGATGGAAAATATTTGGGGAAATAAACTGTGTCTGCAAATGAACATGTGCAGAATTTTTTTCCTTGTCATTAGTCCCTAAACAATACAATATCGCAACTATTTACACAGCATTTACATTGTATTGGTAGTAATCTGGAGATGATTTAAGGTATACAGGAGGGTGTTAGTAGGTTTTATGCAAATACTACATACACCATTTTATATCAGGGACTTGAGCATTCTCAGATTTTGGTATCAAAAGGAGGTCTTAGAACCAACTCCTGAGGATACTGAGCCCACCAAAGTTATTTTCTTAGCAAGACAAATACTTTATTTGCCTGCTTCCTACTCAGTAGGGGGCTATTGGACTAATGTGAATGAAGTTTTCACCCCAACGGCTTATGATCGTGAGCTCTGAGGTCCGCAAACAAGCAGCTTTGGAAGCGGCTTTAATTTCCAGTGAACCACTAGCTTGTTTACATTTCACCCCAGCAAGTGCCCACAAATCTCACCACTTCTACATTGTTCAATCCTTCCTGTGGGCTGTTCTCCCTGCCACTTCTGCCAGACTACCCACAATAAAGACATACAAATATCTTTCCACCCTGAATTTGACCCCTTCTATCTCACTCATTCATCTCCTCTTCCACTGTTATTTACTTAAAAGCTTTTTAAGGGAAAGGAAAATGACCCACTTTTCATTGGTTCCCTTAATTCAATATCTGACATATAACAGGTAACCCCCAAACACTTATTGAATTAAACTGAATTTTTATGTCCCCAAACACCCAGATGACCTTTTTGGTGGGGCTGTAATTAGAAATTTACATGTACTAATATAACACCAACATTAAAATGTCCTGCCCAAGGGATCTTTTTTCTTCTCTGGCATGGAAAGTAAAAGCTACTTTCAGCTTATATAGAGAAGTGACTTGTGTCCTTTTGCTAAGTTTCCTTTATTAACTCTCTCACATCATCAAAGTCACACTGAATTCTCAGTGCACAAAAGCCAATCATGGAGAAACAATCTGAAGGTCAAACTTCAAACCTTGTTCCTTTCCAGGAAGTTCCTTTCCAGGAAGTTCCACTGTTCTACATCAAAGGGGGCGGCTTCTTCAGTGACTGCAATGCAAAGCAGATCTCACCCTGGCATTATGGCATTGCTTTCAGTTATTCTGGGTAGAAATCAATTATCTCTATATTTCACTGAAAAATTTTAAATTGCTTCACAAATAATGGACTATAGGTAACCAGGCTTCAGTGTGAATTAATGCCCCAATGTAAGCAAGTCTGACTGTGGACTCTGGTCTGCCTCTGTTAATTGTTTACAAACACAATTGTATCTGTTGTCCACACTGAGCCAGCCCCATGGTGGGCAGAACAAATGTGGGGCTGGGGTGCAGCAGGGCTTGTCTGACTTATACAACAGCACGCCCTCTAGGTCTGTTGTGTGTTTTCAGAAGTGAAAGCCAAAGCCTTTGGTACTCTAGGAAGTAAGTGCTATATTTAGTATGGAATGTGGAAGTTAACCACAAGACACCACTACACTGAATGTTGCCCAGTGAAGTAGAGAAAACCTTGCATGTCTGCTCAAAGGAATCACACAACAGGCAGCAACCATGCTTCTCCAAGCAGTGCCCAACCTTGGGCTCCTCTTTATGTTGTTTGGTATAAGCTTATCCACAGTGACTTAAAAGAAATATGAAAACGATTTGAGTCATTTTTAGAAAGTATTAAATACCTATTTGTGCTTCTGGACAGTCTTCCTGCATTTCTAGGACTTCAGCAGGCTCAGGAGCTGGTGTTTCAGGAACTTGCAAAAATTCCATTCTCCAAAACTAAATTTAAATAAGTACAAAAATTAAAAAGTTAAGAAACAGATTAAGGAACCAATTTACATTACTCAATGAAGAGAGACTGTCAGGGTTAACAGATAACTTAATTTCCATCATGTTATACAGTTAGATTTCCCGTATCTTGGAAGATGTGGCAGCGGGCTGCCTGCACACAATGGCTGTTTCAAAGTACAGGGAAAAAGATTATAGTCATATTAGTTTAAAAACATGGTTCAGGCCAGGTGTAGTGCTGCCTATAATCCCAGCACTTTGGGAAGCCAAGATGGGCGGATCATTTGAGGTCAGGAGTTTGAGACCAGCCAGGTCAACATGGTGAAACCCTGTCTCTACTAGAAGTACAAAAATTAGCCGGGCATAGCAGTGCATGCTTGTAATTCCAGCTACTTGGGAGGCTGATGCAGGAGAATTGCTTGAACCTGGGAGGCAGAGGTTTCAGTAAGCCGAGATTGCACCACTACACTCCAGCCTGGGCGACAGAGCAACTCACTCTGTCTCAAAAACAAAACAAAAACATAGTTCAACTAAGTAAACTTTTTTGTTTCCTACAAAAACCTCTCAGAGTCTTGCATATGCTAATACACATTATATATCTCCAAGAGGGCATACAGTAAACAGAATCCCCAGGTGCCTGGCTAGGGAGCTATTTTATGCTGCTTCACAGATTGAGCAGTGTGAAATACCACTGTCGAGGAAGCAGACTCCAGGGTGTGTGTGTTTGTGAGTTTTTGTGTGTGCACAGATGTGTACCGTGTGAGGTACAGGGTGTGGTATTGGAGTGGACTGATGGCTTCACTGTCTTTCAACATGTGACTCTGACTAAAGAGGGTGGTAATCAGCTGCTCTCTGCTTTTACAAAGAGCACAATTAAAGAAAAACAAGCACAAAGAAAAATCTCCTGAGACAGAAAAACTCAAATACTTCAACAGACTACAAAAGTGAATACTCCATTGCCTCTATTTTCTGTAGAGTCCCAGCACATAGCAACCTAAGAAAAGGATAAACTACATCTAGGCTTCAGGTGCAGTCATCTGGGATCCTAGCTGGGGATCCTCGAAGTGTTTTCCAGCACTGTGATTCTCTGTAGGGAAGAGACTTATCCCTGCTCACTATGTTTTCCCTACGAAGCCATTTGACAGGCTGAAAACCCAGTACTTCTGCAGTTCGCATGTTGAGCAATCCCAGTGTGACATGGGAATCATGTTTGACTGACCTCACTGTGTCAAGCTGTCAAATGGCCAGTAGCACTACCAGATCTACTTAATAGGAAGAAAAGAGGCCAAGACACCAGTGTTCCTCATGTCTGATAACGCAGAGGCCAAGGCCTGTCTGAGCTGGAGCGAGAGTTCACTAAACATTACAACTTGTTCAGGTGTTCTTAACCTGTAATTAGCTACAAGTTTCTGGTAAACTAGGATGACAAATATCCTAATGAGTTTTTCTCTCAGTTCACTTACCCGAACCACTCCATCTGAGTGTCCTGTCACTATGACGTTCTGCGTGTCCCATTCGTTCATCTCCGACATGCAGCAGCAGATGATCTGCTGGCTCCTACCTGTGAACGTGTTGACACTCACGATAGGGTTCCCATTGATGCTCCACACATGGATATATGTGCCAGCGCAGGACACAATGTCCCCCTGAGAAGAGAGAGAAAAACGTCATTCTCTTTGCTCCCTTCCAATTACCTTCTGGTTTCTGAAGCAAATTGAATCCCTGGCCTAGTTCTCAGAAAGCCTTTCAGTCCTAAGACTAGTGGCTAATTTCTTAGGTAACCTGAAATTCAGTGCTTGCTGACTTAAAAAAAAATACTCCGAACAGAGGCTTCTTTAAGAATTCACAGTTGAGTGGATGCAGTGGCCAAAGGGACCACGGATGGAGACAAAGGGCAGGTCCACGTCCCTGGCACACTGCTGAGCAAGGTCTGGCGACACAAGAAAGCTCCCTGTCATCTGAGGAGATGAAGAACTACTCTTCTTCCTCCCATTGTTAACAAAATCTATTACGCCTTTCATCTAGAGGCAGGAATCCACCTCCACTTTTACAAAATGAATCCAACCACTAAAACCACAGGGTAGAAGAGGCATTTTTCAGTCCAGATATAGTTGTGTTTCTTCAGTAAATCAAAAGGCACAATCTTGGTAATGCTGTAATATCCTATTTTAAAATCTGTATTCAAAATAGGGGTGGGGGAATGTGGGGGGAGAAAAGGAAACTGGTAAATGGGTCACTTCTTGGCAAACTTAGTAAAAACCAAGACTCCCTGAGCTGATAACTTATGTTTTTATGAGATCCAAAGATAGAAAAGAACAACCTATTTTCTTAAATTCTACCAGGCTGGGCTCTACCTAACCTGGTAAGAACACAACCCACTATAGTTAAAGAAAGGAGGATGCTTTCTGAAGCATCTCCTGTGTGCCAGTCACTGGGGTGGAGACTTCAGATGTTCTAGTTAACACAGCAACCTTGTGAGATTATCACTAGCCCTGCTGTAAAGGATGAAAGTGAGGGGCAAAGAATTTAAGTAACTTATTTATCATCAGAGATTTGAAGCCAGCTTTCTATAGCGCCAAAGCTTATATACCATACCGTGCTGCCTCTTTCATTCCTAAGATAGTCTGTTTGTCACAATGCTGGGTATTACCTTTAGAAAAGACCTGGTAAAGTTCAGTACCCTCAGGAGATATATAAGAACCTACATAAGTCTTAAGATGGTCAGCAAAAACAGAGGAGAACTAGAAGCTGCAAAGCAGCATCAACACATAAAAAGGTAAGGTGGAGGAGGCTGGGGTAGGGTGAGGAGGAGGACTGGGCCTGTTCCATCCACAGTCTGTGCTGCACCGTCTGTGCTGGTCTTGCTACTGCTGCTCCTTGCTCCTCCCACCCCCTAGCTCTTCTTCTACCAAAATGGCAAGAAATAAACCAAAACCCAAACCAAAACAATACTTAGCAAAGCACTGTTGTGTCTGCTTCTGTATCAGTTACTGAACCATTTCTGACTATAAGTGTCAGCAATTGAGTTTTAATTAGTGGCTTTAGTCTCTGCAAGAGAAAATTGCTCCATTCTGCACTGGGCAAGACCTTCTTCAGTTACTCTGGGGCCTTAATTAGAGTTTATTAGAGTAAATCCTGTTGTTATGAGGGCAGAGACATAAGAAGAATTAAAGGCAAAGTGGCTTTGGCCTGAAGTGTAAACTGAAGTAAAGCAGGCTTGATATTGGTTGGAGAAACACAACAGAAATAGAAATCTTTTCATGACTTATTAAGATATTACAAAAGCATCTTAAAAAGAAAACACTGCTTTTGTAGTATTTGCAGCAAATATTGCAATCCACTAGTGTACACTGGCTCAAATAACAACTGGCTATATAATAAAATTATCAGTATTTAAGTTAAGAACAACCCCAAAACAAAGTGCTCCAAATAATTGATTAAGCATCTGACTCAACACTGCTGCATAAGAGCAGTTCTACAGCACCCACATTTTTGTAAAGCTCTTTTGGTTCAAATGTTTGCAGGACCAACCCAAGGTGTTGTTCTGAAAACCTCTTAAACCTTTCAGACAGAAAAAACAAATTTGGAGGCCGAGGCGGGCAGATCACAAGGTCAGGAGATCGAAACCATCTTCGCTAACACGGTGAAACCCCGTCTCTACTAAAAATACAAAAAAATCAGCTGGGCGCGGTGGTGGGCACCTGTAATCCCAGCTACTCAGGAGGCTGAGGCCGGAGAATGGCGTGAACCCGGGAGGTGGAGCTTGCATTGAGCCGACATAGCACCACTGCAGTCAGGCCTGGGCAAAAGAGCGAGACTCCATCTCAAAATAAATAAATAAATAAATAAATAAAACCCCAAAAAACAAAAACAAAAACAAATTTGACTCTTCTACCCTTGCATGTCCCCCACTCATTCTCAACCTGAGTACGTCTGCCATTATTAATCAAACACTCTAAGTGATTGACAACTGTAAGTGAATTCCTTTCTTTTTCCTTTTTTAATAAGTGACTACAAGATAGTTGACTAAAAGTGTTAATACTGAGTAACTTCTGGTAGAAATCAAAGATGCAGCATCCTTCAAGAGGAAAGCTGTCTGTGTAGGTGATGGTGTGAATGTCACTCAATGACATGGCTAGAACTGTTCTGTGTCATGAAGGATGGCCCTGTGGTAGGGGTGAGGGTAAGGTGGCAATGGATATGTATAGCTAAGAGGCGATGAGGCTTGGGTGGGTTCCTGTCGACTCCCAAGACGGATTTGTATATGGGGCATCACCTACATGCTGACACACATTATCTACTTGCTAATGCGACACACATCATCAACTTACTAACGCGATAAGCTTGTGAGGCCTTAGTCTCTGTAAACCTGCCCTCAAGCTTCCCGTTTCAAGACCATCTTAGCAATGAATCCCCTCGTCTGCTTCAGGTAGGCTTGGTATGTGTAGAGGGATCCTAGATGAGGGCATTTATTTTATTTGACTTCTTTCATTTATTTGTATATGAACTATTTATTTCTGAAAACAGCATCTTTTGATAACTTCTGGATCTGTTTTGAAAATAGCTATATAAGAATTTTTCTCTTGTTTGGGTACCCAAATGTCACCCTTTTTACTTTCCATACTCTGACTATAATTTATTAAAATTTTCAACACATTTCTAACCTTCTTCTTCTTTTTTTTGAGACTGAGTCTCACTCTATTGTCCAGGCTGGAGTGCAGTGGAGCGATCTTGGCTCACTGCCATCTCCACCTCCCGGGTTCAAGCGGTTCTCCTGCCTCATCCTCCCAAATAGCTGGGATTAAAGGCACCCACCACCAGCCCGGCTAATTTTTTTATTTTTAGTAGAGACGGAGTTTCACCATGTTGGCCAGGCTGGTCTGGAACTCCTGACCTCAAATGATCCGCCTGCACTGACCTCCCAAAGTGCTGGGATTACAGGCATGAGCCACCATGCCCGGCCAATTTCTAACATTCTTAACAAATCCTACAAATTTCCTGTTTTTTAAAAAAACATATTCTAGAAAGCTTTGTTTTATTTTAATCAAATTTTGTTCTCTCTACTGCATGGAGCAGTGAATGGATTTTAAGACAAAACTGCTCTCTGGATTACAAACTTTAACATCTATTTGCTTTTCAAACAACACTAAATCAAAGAAAAGGTAGTAACTTTTATAAAATGAGTATCTATCAACTTCAAAAACAATGAGTCATTTTTTTAGAAGAAAAATTTATTTATTTTTTTAAGAGACAGTGTTTTGCTGTTTCCCAGGCTGGAGTGCAATGGCTATCACAGGCACAGCCCACCACTGATCAGCATGGGAATTTTGATCTGCTCCATTTCCAACCTGAGTTGGTTCACCCCTCCTTAGGCAACTTGGTGGTCTCTGACTTTCAGGAGGTCACCAAATCGGTGCTGACCTTAGTGCAGACACCTGATGGGTATAGTGCCTACAGCCCAGAAGTCCTGGGCTCAACTAATCCTCCTGCGGTAGCCTCCTGAGCAGCTGCAACTCAGACATGTTCCCCTGAGCCCCACCATTTTTAATTGAGTTTGGCCAAGACTACTTGTTTACCTAAACATAAGTGGGCAATTTACTACTTACTGTTAATTCATTGATACAAAGAGCAGAAACTGGAGCTCGATGCCCTCGAAGCTGGGTTAGAAATGACAGTTTGTTCAAATCCCAAATGATACAGGTTCGATCACGGGACCCACTGACAATTATGTGATAGGCTAATGATGCTGTGGCGCAGGTGACGGTATCAGTGTGGCCCAGTAAGGCCTACGAATGAGAACAAACAAACAAAATCAGGTTGATCTCAGTGACAGGGTTCCACAGTGACTCCAGAAGCTCCTGGATGCATCAGGAAGCAGTGGCACGCATGCTAGGTAGTAGGTGACTTGAGCAGTGGTGTCTGGAGAGTCTGGAAGGCAGACCTCCTTTCTCCTCCTGCTGACTACCCTTGCCTCAGCCCACGGGGGTAGAGAGAAGCCTGGAGCACTCTGGAGGCTCTTTACTTTCACATTAGTTCTTTCCTGGAGTTGGGCCAGGATCTTAGAAGGAAGAGGGAATGACAACCACAACCCAGCTTGGGTTTCTTTATACCATTTTTATGTAGAGATGTATTGATTATGGGCATCAAAAATACAGAATTTCAACTCTATATCCATTCTTTTATGCCACAAACTCCTGTTCAGACCATTCTAAAGAATTACAATTGAATGAATTTTTTTTTAAAAAAATGCATAAACTGCGAGAACCACATGGCTGTAGCACGTGGTCTACAATAGACAAAGCGAGAATGTAGTCCTGAGGCGTCAACATGCTGAAGTCCTGCTGCCAATCGGAGATATCTGAGTATCTGTGCCTGAGAGGAATTCTTTCTTTAAACTAGAAAAAGAACTTCCCTCTTTTGCTGGAATATGAAGAGAAAAAGGACCCAAGGAAATGGCAATGTGTGAAAATAAGTAAATATTCTGAAGAAAAAGATTTAGATTACTGTTAGTAGTTCCTAAGTACTTAGAATGGGCCATCTGCCCTGGCAGAAAAATATATCCGCTTAATAATGAGTTGGCTTCATCTGCCGCCTTCCACACTAGAATGTAAGAGGTTGCCTCCTATTGTACATTTGGGGAAAGCCTTGGGTGTAAATCAGTGTAAACTTGGAGGAGAGATTTTGCTATCATGTAGAGTAGGTATTTTTTACAGATTGAAGGTTGATAAATTTTTTAATACTTTTGAGAGAGAAAACTATCTGTGTATACACATGAAGTATATATATGTGTGTGTGTGCATAATATAAAAAAAGAGTTGGCTTAAAATTTTGGTCATATAGACATCTTTATTGCATGCTTAGCAAACCCCAGGAAACTATTTTAAGCAGGAAGTCCTTTTTCCTGGCACATTACTTTCAAAGTGCATTTTCTAAATGGAAAATATTTTTAAGCATAATTTGAATCAGCAAAATGTACTATTAACCTTGTAATCTGTTCACTTCAAGACTTTCTCCCTCTTTATATGGCTTGCCTCAGGACCCAGCAACTCTGTGAAGTTTCTGGCCTATACAGATGATTCAGTTTTATACTGAACAGGGGTTCAATTTTTTTCTATAGGTATTTATGACACCACTGTTTGAGTTTGGCTTTATAATAGCTTTGAAGTCAGACAGAACTTAATTTAAATTATAGCTTTACTGCTACATGTGACTTTAGACTTGTGTCTTGACCACTCTAACCTGTGTCTTTTTCAGGGGTAAAATGGGGCTAATAACTACCTTGTAGAATTGTGTCGACTAGAGTTTTGTATTTGTAGAATACTCAACACAGTCCCCTGAAATAGAGGTGCTCAATAATTGATAAGTGGTATTGTTACATTATTTTTCAAATTTATATCATTAAAAATACTTAGATATATGCTCCTTATTTAAAAAATACCTTATGGTAAGTTCTCTCACAGATCAAATATTAAGAAATGGCTTAATTATAAAAGGACTCTTGCTTTAAGTAAAAATTAATAATAGAATCATGTATGTAATAGACAATCAGAAATACTCGTTAATTAAATCATCAAGGGCTCTACTGAATATATTCATGAGTTTGGCATATCCTTAAGTATATGACAAATGAGAAAAGAGAGAAACAAAAAATAAAGAATTTAGTGGCAGATAAATGGAAATCACCCTGGAAGGAAATTAATATGAGTCAATAGCAAACATAATTCAGTTTGCAAAAATTCAATTTAGACTTTTGCATTTATATTACTTAAATACACTGAAATATATGTTACCTAAAGATAACTTTCTTCAGATTTTAACAAAGGGACCGGCTTAGATCATTGTTAGAAACAACCTATTCTGATTTCCTTTTTTTTTCAAAAAAGTATTTCTAGCAACAGAACGTCACTTTGGTTTTGTCCATTAGATCTGAAGTACCTCAGAATTAAGGAAGCTTTTTACTTCCTACAGGGTGTAGGCACAGGAGATGGACTATGTCCTTCTTGGCATTTTCTATGTTCTCTCTTACCTGTTTGAGGGTGACGGTCTTGGCCTTTTCTTTGGAGGTGCCCATCTCCCACACACACACAACCGTGCTTGTTCCACCCGTGATGACCAGCTTGGGGTTGGGGCAGATTGCACAGAGAATCTGGCCCCACTCAGACAAGCATTCATAAACAGTCATGGCCTATAAAGTAAAACGGATGTGAGACACACATGCCGTTAAGTACTATACAAACTTCTGAAACTCAAGGAGCAGAATTGAGTGAAGGTGCAGGCACCTCACCAGCAAATAGCGGCTCATGTTCTGAGCTAGCTTTAGTTCAGAAGCATATCCACTGAATCTCTACCCTGAACTACCCCTACCGCCTCCAAACTATTGTTGCTGCTGAAAGCCATAACCAAAAAGGACTTTGCTCATAATGGGGGTCTCTGGTTTCTCCAGATTGGGAAAGTGATGCTCAAATTGTGTGATCTATGGAAGGTGCAGGGGACAATGTGGCAAAAGGATGCATTTGCTGTAGACAGAATGTGAAAAGAGAGCACGACTGCTGCTAAGGAGAACATCAACAAAATGGAATCGTGTTACAAAGCAACATAACAGACTATGCAGATTCTTTTCGTCTTGCATTTGGGAAGGGACTGTTGGAGGGCAAACACAGGGCACTAAAGGATCACTATGGATTGTCTCTCCAAGAGGTACTTATGGGACCCAAAACAGTTGCTGTTGCTTCTTGTGGGATGGAGCAACAGGTTTTCTGCCAGCTTGTTTGGAGCACTAAAATGAAAAGTGGGGCAGATGGTGACTCATCAAAAGGAGGCTATTCTGGTTGACAGAAATGCTGAGCTCCTTGCTGGCTAGGATCTCTCGGAGGAATTCTTTGAGTGAGAAGGAAACTGCTAGCCCCTGTTACACAACTTTGCAAAAGAGGCTTGTTCTGCAGGGAACATGACATCTCTATGAGCTCCTTTATCCTGCTCTCATTCAGTGAAGCTCTCCTTTCCCCAAATAGGAAAGCTCACTTTTCTTTTGGGCTTTGGAGGAACAGCTGACAAGCCCTTGGACTGGGTTCTCCCCAACCCTATTAGTCATATAGGATAGCCAGACCACAAAAGAGCAATATTAAATGAGTAGGCAGGAAATAATGCAAACCTTGTCTGACTCATAGGTTCCCAGTCTGCAACTGAGGTCTGCATAGCCCCAAGCAAAAGTTTTATTCCAGGTTGGTGGGATAAGAACCTTATTCTGTTCCACCGCAAGAATACCTTTATCTGTACATACGATTTGTCCTACAGGTTCTTTGAGTTCTAGAAAAAAGAAATCATGGTATTAGGACAGGAACAGGAAAAACTAATGTCATTATCTCATAGAGCATGATAATTTCAAATATTCATATAAATCAAGCATCCTGATACCTACGTTGAGAAAAAATGATCTCTGAAATAGAGCTGGGCTTTTGAATCTCCTACAAGACCTGCTGGGTGGAATGTTCAACCTAACAGGGCCTCTGCAGGACTTTCCTCCAGCTTTCCTATTTCTGGGCACTCTCTGGTTTGGGTACTACCATTCAGGTTTGCCTCCCTAGGGTTGTACAGAGTAATCTGGGATGCTCCCCAGAATGTCATAGGGACACAGATTATCAACAAACCTATGTCTTTAGTACCTCCCAAGTTATAGCCAGACCTTAGACTTCCTCAAGGAAGGTCATGTCATTCCCCAGAGGAACGGACTCCTTGCTCCACACCAGCACTCTGATGACCATATTACTACTCCAGAAGAATCGCCAACAGTGACTGACGCTGGCACAGAGCAGAGTCTGTGTAATGAGGACAAATGGCATAGAATGGCACACAAGTTAACCAGATTTTGTTCCAATTCTTGGATATTTTTAAGCGACAACTTCAAGATTTTGCAGAACTTTTTTTTTTTCATTCTAAGGGGAAAAAACCTACTTGAAAAAATATTTTTAGATATCCCATTATACCATTAGATAAAACACAGATGTCTTTTCATTGGCATACTAAAAATGTGTTCTTTTACTAATATATCGGATAGGCAGAATATATTTAAATGAGAATGAAATTATGAAGACAAATTTTTTTTATCTATAAAGTTGAATTTACAAGGTTTTGGTATTTTAGAGCTTTGATTATCTTAAAGAGGAGAGAGAAGACTGTTTGGTTCTTTCTGATATGAAGTCCAACAAGCCAAAAAAAGAAAACAGAGAAAAAAAAGCAAAAAGAGAAAATATAAATACTAGTAGGTATTTAGTAATCTAACACAAAATGTATGGCACTTATTAAACAAATTATGCTATCGTCAAAAAGCAAATTTGTTATTGTTAAACTGGGATTATTAACAATCCCATTAAATCATTAATCAAAAGTTTATTTCTCATTATTTTACCTTTTACAGGTGTTAGAGAAGGCCTCAAGTTGTCTAGATGATGAAAAAAGATCTTGTCACTTGTAGATCCTGGTAGGACAGAGATTCCTGCATTGTCTCCATTGAGTCGACTTCTCACTCGCTTTGGTGGATGAGGTTTTTTAAATAACTGGTATGAAAGAAGATGACTCACTTTATAATGAAAGATAACACTTATAAGCCCTTTTATATGCCAGGCATTGTGTTCTTATTTCAATTAAGGTTCACAAGAACTATTAGGTACTATATTATCCTCATTTTACACCCGAGGAAAGAGATTCAAAGACGCTATGAAGGTGGCCAGAGAACTCACACCTGAATAAGCAGGGACAGGACTATGATACTAAAGCATGGGCTATTGTCTTGTTCTATGCTAAGCTGAATTCACAATAACTTTCTCAAAGAAAGTCAATCTACAGTTGATTGACAATTATTTTCCAATGATATTCAAAAGTTAACTCTCAGTAGCCTAATACCATTCTGTGCCATTGAAGGCAGGCAGACACTCTATCTAGTTGGATTATTTCTGGTTTCAATGTGGCCTTTATGTGATTTAGAAATATCATTTTGGTGTCCTAAAAAGGTGCTACTGATTTGCTGAAAGTGTGAATATTATCATCTTCTTTGTGCTTTGCTATGTTGTAAAGGGAAAAAAGAAAACAAAAATGTGCTACATCGTCATTCTGTATTTCTACAGGATTAAAAATATTAATGGCTGGGTGAGGTGGCTCATGCCTGTAATCCCAGCACTTTGGGAGACTGAGGCAGGCGGATCATGAGGTCAGGAGTTCGAGACCAGCCTGGGCAATATGGCGAAACCCGTCTCTACTAAAAATACAAAAATTAGCTGGGCGTGGTGGTACACGCCTGTAGTTCCAGCTACTTGGGAGGGTGAGGCAGGAGAATCGCTTGAACCCAGGAGGTGGAGGTTGCAGTGAGCCGAGATTGCGCCACTGCACTCCAGCCTGGGGCAACAAAGCGAGACTCCGTCTCAAAAAAAAAAAAAAAAAAGTACATTTAAGATTACTATTTTTCAATTATTGTAAATCTTTGAGACAGGCATAGAGTAGTTTCTGTTGGAAAACTAGTATTTGAGGAGGAGATCTGAAAAACTTTAAATGAAATGAGATTTAAGATAAATACGACACCATCACACTTTGTAAATTAGATATTTGGGGTTTCCAAGGGAAAAAAACAGAAAAAATTCTTTGTGCAGAGGAAGATACACATTCCAGACTCTCAAATCTTTAAATGTTTTATTCCTATTTTATCTACATAAAGGACTATAAGATCAGGCTTCTATAAAGATACATAGTTTTAAAGCACTTTCATGAATGTGCATTTACTGAAGCACTTTTACGTGAGGACCTAAGGAGAGAGCACTGCGCCAGGCTGCGGGTATATAATGATGTATGGAGATGATGACCATAAAACCTACATTTCTGAGGATGGCTTTACTTGAAAGTACCCTCTATTACTCAATGTGTGTCCCAGAAATATGTTGGCATCCAAACGATACTTCCCAGACTTCTGGCCTCTTCTACTTCAAAGTAGCACAAAAATCCTGCAACAGTGCAAGTGTCTTGATTTTTATGTTCAGAATATGTATTTCCCCTAGGGTATGAAAGATGGCTCCAGCCCTTGTAACTCTCAGGAAAAAGAAAAAAGTTAACTAAATAAAGGTATAGCTAATATTCTTCAACTGTGAATAATTTATCAGCAAGCATTTTGCTTTAAAAGTAAACACAGCCAGGCGCCGTAGCTCATGCCTGTAATCCCAGCACTTTGGTAGCTGAGGTGTGAGGACTGCTTGAGTCTAGGAGTTCAAGACCAGCCTGGGCAACATAGTGAGACTCTATCTCTATAAAATAAAAATAAATAAAAATAAAAGTAAACATGTTTCTTTTATTAGGGGATCACATTGCTAGGGGATCAGACTGCATTGTAAATGGTACAGTTACAGCATGTCCTGCTATCTATCATGGCTTTTCTATATAAAGATATAAAGAGATGAGCCATTGTTTTGTGTGTTCTCAAGTGTCAACCCTGGAAACCTCAAGTTAACCTACAAAAAGGGAGTCCGTAGAGACATCTAAAGCAGGAAAAGAGGAGGTAGCCAGGATCAAAGTATGAGCCACTGGTACTTAGTAAAGGTGGGTGGCCTCACCAGCTCGTCAAAGTGTGCCTTCTCCACACTGTGGAGAAGTGCTGCAGTTACTTCTGGTGCACCCAGCCCTCCTGCCATACCTCGGACAATGGGGATGACAGAAGGGATGAGGTCTCTTCATGGAGGTTTGCTCATCACTGAACATGAAACAGGCCTACAGTATCTGGGTGCTGAGAGGCTTAGATCTTGGTCTTCCTCTCCAAGTTCCAGAAGGTGGTGAGGGCAGCTATTGCGTGTCCTAGGCACTCCTATGGCACGTGCTCTCACAGCACAGCACTTATTAGGCCTATGTCAACAATCTAACCCAATCCATCATCATCTGTTCTCTGAACTACCACAATAGCTTTCTTAGTGGTCTTCCGCTCCCCATTTGGGTCCCGTGTGTGTGTGTGTGTGTGTGTGTGTGTGTCAGACACACACACACAGAGACAGAGAGAGATAGAGAGAGAGAGAGAGAGAGAGAGAGAGAGAGAGAGAGAGAGAGGCACGCATAGAGTAGTTTATTCTGACTGAGGCCAGAATGAACTTCTAAAGTTTAAATATGACCATGTCATTTCTCTGCCTAAAATCAGCACTGGTTTCCCACTGGCCTCCAGACAAAACCTTGTCTCTGTGTATGTGGCCTATAAGGCCCCTCCTGTTACATCTCATGGAGGTTTAAGAAAGCATACCCTGCATTAGTCTGTAAGGGATAATTCTCTTTAAACAAAAATTTTTATTTATCTGGACTGTGAGAGTGAGAAAAAAGCAACAATCTAGGAATCTATTGAAATCCTAGGTGATATTTATGGCTCTTTATTAAGTTAATCTAAACTTAATTATTTTGTGGTAATCTACAATCTAGAGAAATGTTACAAAATGAAACAGAGTACATCAATGACAAGAAAAAAACATCCATACCTGTTTAGGGATCTGACCGAAGTTATTAATGAACCCAATTGTGGCTGTCTCCTTTAGTGGGTCATTGATGTTGTAGATATCCACTTGACCCTCATAAAAAAGATGATGGAAGACATTTACAGCTTCTACTGCAGCAGGGCCTTGCTGTTTATAACCGAAGATTAAGTCAATCCACTCATGTAGATGGGCACTCACGTAATCACACTCCAAAGCCTGTAATTTCAAACATAGGTTTAGTCACTGGCTGACTTCTATTACTTGCTCAGAGACTAGAAAAACCTTGGTAAGTGGTTAATAGGAACTAAAATAACTAAAAATCATAAAAACAACATAGTATTCCCCTCTTATTTGTGGTTTCACTTTCTGAGGTTTCAGTTACCTGCAGTAAACCATGGTTTGAAAATATTATTATATTTATGAGAGTGAGAGACAGAGATCA
This sequence comes from Homo sapiens, assembly GCF_000001405.40. Lineage (NCBI taxonomy): Eukaryota > Metazoa > Chordata > Mammalia > Primates > Hominidae > Homo > Homo sapiens. Next base: position 84,696,409 of record NC_000004.12, read on the forward strand.
CATTCACATAGCTCTTAGTAGGTTGTTATGATTGTTCTATTTTATTACTATTCTTAATCTCTTACTATGCCTAATATATAAATTAACCTTTATCAGAGCTATATATGTATAGGAAAATACATAGTTTATATATATATATAGGGTTTGGTACTATTCCTGGTTTCAGGCATCAACTGGGGTTCTTGGGATGTATCCCCTGTAGATAAGGGGACCTGGCTGTATTAGTAACAAACAGGTGGTACTCTGGCTAGAGGCCCTGTCTTTGTATTATGTTCAATGACCAAATGAAATTCAACTTCAATTGTAAAATGTACTTCCATTACCTCACGATGGACTCTGATGAATTCTCGTGGGTCCCCTTTTGCCCAGGGTGGAAGGATAACATCTCCAAGCTTGGTGCCATTTTGTTTACAGCCTATGCAATTGGATACATTAAAAATAAAAAAAAAGAAAGAATGGGATAAATGGTAACTTTATATTAATCTGACTGAGAAATGGTGGGTTAGATTCAATACCAGAACGCTAAAATTGTACACCAGAAAGGACTTCAGAGATTATCAACTCTAGCATCCCTCAAGACTGCTCCTCAGATCACTCCAGCAGAAAGAGTTACTAAGTCAGCAAAACTGAGGCCCTCACTGCCAATGTCTTCAGGAAATGCTGAGTTATACCAAGCGAAACATGCTTCTTTCTGCAGAGTCTTGAGCGCAGGACTCCTCGGAGGTTTAATATGCTAACATGCACTGCCCTTCTCTAAGAGGGATATCAAACACAAAATGTCTGAAATTTAATTGACCACAAGACTCCTTTTCAGCAAAACATTTTGCAGGGTTACTGTCTTGAATCTCCTGGACACAGTCTACTGTAGATATCTGTAATACAAGAGGTTTCTCATATCGCTGACTCTTAGGTTCTCAAAAGAGCTCTGTAGAACTGGCATGTATTTTGCAGTAAGCATTCTCATTTAAAAAGCAAAATCTGAAATGACGTAACTTTTTGCTGTTATTGCATCATTTAACAGAAAAAATATTTGGAAAAACTATAGGGCTACCTGTCAAAAACAAAAAATAACATGTTGTGATAAAGCACATAAATAATATTTATTCCATATAAACTTATTTTAAGTGATAGCCAAGATAATTTCTAAAATATAAAAGAAACCATTCACTGTGAAATCTATCCACATCAAAATATATTAAATTTGGCTGCATCTAAACAAAAAGGGTGTTTTTCTTCTTTTTGAAATATACCAAAAAAGTCACTTTAGCTTACAGAGTTTTTATAGATACAAATCAGATTATCATTGTAAAAATGACTCTACAAACAACAATGTTGACTCACTAGTTTAATAGCAGTTGGTTAGATAAATACTTGTTCTGGAAATTTTCATACAGAAATGCAGTTGTTCAAATTTTAGAACACAAAGCCAATTCCAAGTGGAAGCGAATAAAATATCTCCCTTAGATACAATCTTGCCTTTATCATTGCTAGTCGATGGTTTATTTACAATGTGATATCGAGTGGTACAAATATCAGTTTGTTGTTTAAAGGAATGTCTTGACTTGGTTGGAAAGGTTACCATATGATTTACAACAAAAATAAATCAAGTTATTACAACCCTTCCTCCTCAACCACACACACTGCACGCTGTCTGTTGAATCTCCCTGAAATGCCCACTAGGTCTAATTTTTTGGTAATAATAAACAGGTAAAAAGGCTACTTGAGATAGAAATTACTTTTCCAAATTTTGCTACAATCCTTGAATACTTATTTGATAGAATTTTATTTTATGAACACTATATGCAATTTTAAAATGACATATAAAGATAACATAGTCTGCAGGAAAGCCTTTGTCTAATTCTATATAATATATATATATATATTTTTTTTTTTTGAGACAGGGTCTTGCTCTGCTGTCCAGCCTGGAGTGCAGTGGTATAATCATGGCTCACTTCAGCCTTGAGCTCCTGGCCTCAAGTGATCCTTCCACCTCAGCCTCCCACGTACAGGCACGTGCCACCATGCCTGGCTAATTATTTTATTTTGAAGGGACGAGGTTTTGCTCTGTTGCTCAGGCTAATCTTGAACTCCTGGCCTCAAGTGATGCTCCTACCTTGGCCTCCCAAAGTGCTTGAATTATAGGCAAGAGCCAGTGCTCCGCCCTTAATTTTGCTATTCTGAAGCTCTCCTCCATGTGTATCCAAGGATGCATGGACAAGAAGACCCCAGGGTGAATATTACTTATCTCATAGCAAGGGGAAAAAAAAATCCAAGTGCTTTTTCTTTCTTTCTTTTTTTCTTTTGAGACAGAGTCTTGCTCTGTTGCCCAGGCTGGAGTGCAGTGGCATGATCTTGGCTCACTGCAACATCTGCCTCCCGGGTGAGTCTTGTGCCTCAGCCTTCTGAGGAGCTGGGATTACAGGCACACACCACGATGCCCAGCTAATTTTTGTATTTTTAGTGGAGATGAGTTTTCACCATGTTAGCCAGGCTGGTCTCGAATTCTTGGCCTCAAGCAATCTGCCCACCTCAGCTTCCCAAAGTCCTGGAACTACAGGCGTGAGCCACTGCGACCAGCCCCAAGTGTGTTTTCTTTTACACCATTTACTATTTTTTCTGTGTGAAGAGGCAAACTGTTTTTTTTTTTTTCTATTGGGGTGAAATTCACATAAAGCCAGCCATTTAAAGGGAACAATGCAGTGGCATTTAGTTCAGACACAATGTTACGCAACCACGATTTCTATCTAGTCCCAAAGCATTTTTATCACCACCAAAGTAATCTTGTACCTGTTAATCAGTAGCTGCCCGTATTACCTTCAACCCAGCCCCAGAACACCAATCTGTGTCCTGTCTCTGTGGACTTACCTATTCTGAGTATTTCCTATAAATGGAAATGTACAATATGTGACTGTTTTTGTCTGGCTTCTTTCACTTTGCGTAATGTTTTTGAGGTTCAATCACATTGTAGAGTTTATTAGTGCCTCATTCACTTTCATGGATGAATAATATTTCACTGTATGTATATGCTACAACTGGTTTATCCACTCATCACTTGATAGACATCTGGGCTGTTTCTGCCATTCGGTTATTGTGAATAATGCTACTATGAACATGCTCACACACATACTTACTTGAGTTGCGTTTTCAATTCTATATACCAAGGAGTGGAACTGCTGGGTCATATGGTAATTCTGTTTAACTTTTTGAGGAACTGCCAAACTACTTCCCACAGTGGCTAAACCATTTTATGCTCCCACCAGCAATGTATGAGGGTTCTAATTTTTCTATACCTTTGCCAGCCCTTGTTGTTTTTCAGTTCCCCCCACCCCATTATGGTCATCCTAGTAAATATGAAGTGGTATCTCATTGTGGTTTTGATTTGCATTCCCCTAATGACTAATGATGTTCAGCATCTTTTCATGAGTTTACTGGCCATCTGTATAACTTATTTGGGAAATTGTCTATTCAAGCCCTTTGCCCATTTTCCAACTGGGTTGTTTGTCTTTTTGTTGTTGAGTTATAAAAGTTGTTTATATTCTGGATACTAGATCCTTATTAGATATATTATTTGCAAATATTTTCTTCCATTCTATAGGCATCTTTTCATTTTCTTGGTAACATTCTTGGATGCAGAAACTTCTAATTTTGATTAAATCCAATTTATCTTTTGTTGTTGTTGCTTGTAATTTTGATATCATATTTAAGAATATATTGCCAAATTCAAGATCATGAAGATTTACCCCTATGTTTTCTCATAAGAGTCGTATGATTTTAGGTTTTATATACAAACAGTGTTTTGTCTTGTTTTGTTTTGGAGACAAGGTGTCACTTTATCACCCAGGTTGGAGTGCAGTGGCACGAACACGGCTCACTGCAGCCTCAACTCCTGGGGTAAAGTGATCCTCCCACCTCAGCCTCCTGAGTAGCTGGGACTACAGGTGCACATCACCACGCCCAGCTAATTTTTGTATTTTTTGTAGAGATGAGGTTTTGCCATGTTGCCCAGGTTGGTCTTGAACACCTGAGCTCAAGTGATCCACCTGCCTTGGCCTCCCAAAGTGCTGGGATTACAGGTGTGAGCCACCATGCCTGGCCCAACCACTGTTTTTTAAAGTATGCTATTTCAAGGAGGGAAGATAATTTGTTATGAGGGTGAACATGATAAAGATACATCCTCCTTTTTTTATTTACTTATTTTAAAAGTAGATTGGTTAGTTGGGTTTGTAAGTGGTCGGTCTGGAACACCTTTGCAACATGGATTATCATAAGTGATAGATGTTTCTGGAAGATTATGAGCTATCTCTTTCTTTCTGCACCTCTCCATATTTGTCTCTTTGACAGTGGTATCCCTGGGGAAGAAGGCAACGTTCTCCAAAGTTGAATTATAAGTGAACATAAGAAAACACTAATGTGGCTGTGCGTGGTGGCTCACGCCTGTAACCACTGAGACGGGCAGATCACTTGGCTGAGACGGGCAGATGACTTGAGGTCAGGAGTTCCAGACCAGCCTAGGCAACATGGGGAAACCCCGTCTCTACTAAAAATTTGAAAAAGAATTAGCCAGGTGTGGTGGCGCATGTAATCCCAGCTACTTGGGAGGCTGCAGCACGAGAATTGCTTGAACCTGTAAGGCGGAGGTTGCGATGAACAGAGATCATGCCACTGCACTCCAGCTTGGGCGACAGTGCAAGACTCTGTCTCAATAAAAGAAAATGTTAATGTGCATTCACAGTCAAAGGCTATAGCAGGTATTTGTTGATTGTTCTCGTTGACTATTCTATTCTTTTGGGAAAACCCATCACTTTCTCTAATTCTAAGTCCTAAAGTTGTGTCTTTAGCTGCTCAAGGGTGAGCTCTAGGCATAATTACAGGTAATGAAAATCAATTTCAGACTTTTCCTGGGGCTCTGGAGACAGCCTTGTTATCTTTCCCATTTCACAAAGGTAGAGTTGCTGATGGACAATTAAATACATAAAAATTATCTTTAGAAAACTTCAAATAGAAATATCTTTCATATGTATAGGATACAAACACTTCCCTGTATTTTCTGTTCATGAAAATTTGGAGGTAGTACAGTTATAATTTATGTGCTAACTCTTACAAAACAGTAGAAAATACAAGGAATGAAAAAAATATAAAACAACAAATATCTGGCAGGAATATTCTCACATGGAAACAATGGAATTTTGATATGCTTTAAAAGAAATACTCAGAAGCATAGATCAGCAAACTGTGTTCCAAGAAACTGTAACCAAAGTCAAATCCACTTCCTCTAACAGCCAGATAATATAAAAACAGCACTGATGGAGTTTTTCTTGTTTTTATAAATGCTGATTTGGTCCTGTTTTTCTAGAAAATAGAGTCCTTACAGGATAAAGAAAAGGGGTTTACTTAAAGTTATTCTGAAGTTCTAATTTTAAAACACATTAGCCTATGAACTGAGAATGTATTAGGCAATAAACAAGATTAAAACAATACATGGAAAATTTGGATGTACCACTCTTAGCTATTAATGGGTTTCAATAGTAATACTTTTCAATAAATTTTCACCTCTGTTTTCATCAAAACAACGAAATTCTAAATGTTGGGAGTAATCTGTCTCAATATTTATTTATTTAGAGACGGAGTCTCGCTCTGTTGCCCAGGCTGGCGTGCAGTTCACGATCTCAGCTCACTGCAACCTCCACCTCCCAGGTTCAAGCAATTTTCCTGCCTCAGCCTCCTAAGTAGCTGGGATTACAGGTGCCCACCACCACGTCTGGCTAATTTTTGTAACGACAAAAATCACATGTAACCACACCCAATTACAGCAAATGACTGCAAGAAACTGTATCAAATTTTTTTCTTGTTAATGTGTGCTGCAGACAATCTTCAGAGAAGTGACTTATTTCTATTGGACTTTTCCTGGCTAACATTCCTAAGACAGTGCCATAGCTCTACGTACCTAGATCAAAGTTGTTGGAATTGAACAGGAATTCTGGTAAATAAAAGAACTCTGGGATAAGTTCTTTTACATCTGCCATATTGTGCTTTGACGCTGAATACCAGGCCTCGCGCACACTGTGAAACATCCGGTCAGCCAGGTCAAAGTGGCCACCCTGTGGGCAGAATAAGACACCTCTCTATTAGAGAACCGTTCCCACCTGACAGCTTCTGTCAAGTTCAAGAGCTTGAAAACTCCAACTATAGTTGGTGACATTTCAATTTCCCATTATCCTACATTAAATACGCACAAATTTTTAATAAACATAAAACATCTAATTCTCTTTGGGGTAATCCTTACAGAGGGTTCTCTCTGCATTTGTTTTTATAATCAAACTGAAATCCAAATGTAAAGATTTTAAAAAGTCATCCAAAAAATAGTAGATTTTAAAGAGAGGACAAGGCTGTAAGAAATATGAGTTCTGGCCGGGCGCGGCGGCTCACGCCTGTAATCCCAGCACTTTCGGAGGCCGAGGCGGGCGGATCACGAGGTCAGGAGATCGAGACCATCCTGGCTAACACGGTGAAACCCCGTCTCTACTAAAAATACAAAAAATTAGCCTGGCGAGGTGGCGGGCGCCTGTAGTCCCAGCTACTTGGGAGGCTGAGGCAGGAGAATGGCATGAACCCCAGGGGGCGGAGCCTGCAGTGAGCCGAGATCGTGCCACTGCACTCCAGCCTGGGGGATAGCGAGACTCTGTCTCAAAAAAAAAAAAAACCAAACAAACAAGAAATATGAGTTCTTCCATAGTTTGATGATGCCATCACAAGAAAAGATTCTAATGTAAATCATCTACAGTTGGAAACATTCAAATTATGTTTGGCTAATTTTATAAATTAACATGATATGCAAGTTCTCATACTAATGAAAATTAAATGGAGAATTAGAAAAGGTGATCAGTTACAGACCGATGAAGCAAATTAAAATAGAAAAGGGATATTTTTCACTACGCAGCCTCACAGGTACACTATCCATCTTCTTCAGTCAAGCCCCCTATGCTGCTGTGTTTTAAGTTAACATGGTGTACCTGTCTTACGATGCTCACTGTGGGAAAATGCCAAAGTCCATGCCATGGCTGCCAATGTCTGCCATACAATCTAGCCTGTTTCCTTGTCGAACTCTTCCCCTACAACTAACTTTCCTCCTTACTTACTCTATTCTGGACACACTGGCCCCCGGGCTGCTCCTCGAACATGCCAGGTACAAGCCTGCCTTAGAGCCCTTGCACAAGCTCTTCCCTCTGCCTGGAACACGTATCTCCAGATGTCTGCAGAAGCAACACCCTTACCTCCTTTAGACTTTTTTTCACAGGAGACCTACTCTGACCACTCTACTTAAAACTGCATCCCACCTTGCCCAACCTCCTGTTCTCCCCACTTCCCATCCCCCTTTCTGGACCTATATCTTTCTGATAGCTTTTATCACATTCTGAAACACCTTACAATTTTCTTATTTTTGATTTCTGGCTGTCTCCTTCAACTGAATTACATAAACTGCACAGGTAAGGCTTTTCTCTTTATTAATTGAAGTCCTCCCAAGTACCTGGAACAGTGCCTGGCACACAGTAGGTATTTATTAAATATTTGCTGAATAAATGAATGAGAATGTACAGAAAAGCAATTATAATCGAGGAAACAGAGAATGAGCTGGAATATATCATGTTTTTGTAAAATAAAAATTGTTTAATTCAACCAGTTAGGGCTGGTTGAAAAATGTATGCTACTTATGTATTTGATTAAAGGATGCTGGCACTTATTTGTTCTAAGCGAATTCTAGTTCATTAATCAATTTTGGTCCAACAAAATTCTACTTTAGTTATGTAACTACTTTGTCACTAAAATTTCGCAGAGCTTCTTATAATAGAAGATAATGATGTTTTAAAAGGTGACATTTTAGATAGAAGTAGGCTTGTATAAAATAGAAAAACCCCAAATTTAAAGTTTTACCTGTAGCCTTAAGAATATCTGTGTGAAAGGCTCCATCCTTACAAGGTATGAGGCCACAATCATTGCAGATGAATAGTGGGTCCCATAGTGGTATGCAGGAGTTTCTCCTGTTTAAGAAAATTAAAGCACAATTGAAACCAAAAGAAGAAATATGAAAAATAAAATTGGTATTAATTTATGCTTGAAAATGCTAGCCTATGTGATAACTGTAACACTAAATGCAATTAGTACTGGCATTTGCAGCAGGAAAACTTCAGGACACCACTACCCCTCTCTTCTATATTTGACAGTAGTCCAGATTAAGTATAATTCAATGGCCTATTCCCACAAACTTAGTATGTCTACCAATTTCATGTTTTGAGGCTTACTATAATAGTTAACCCTTAATAGTAGACCATCTTCCACTAAAGCAGGATATTGACTTATAGTTTTTATTAGGTTCTGGCTTTGCAATTATATATTTCTCTAAATCATTGTTTATGAATGTTAAGCACTTTTATGTATTTTTACTACATATTCTCCTTGGCAGAGAGGGGGTGGGAAAAAAGAGTTCACATAGGACTACAAGCTTAGGCTTTCTTTCTCCTTTGTTTTGCCTTTTTGAGGGAGAAACACCATAAACATTAAACATAATAAATAACAAGTAAACTATAAGGTTTTAGAGTATAGTAATTTTTTTTAAATGCAAAAGGGTTCCAAAATTGCCTCAATAAAATTAAAGAGAGACAATAAATTAAAGTATGGTTCCTGGACTAAACATGATTAGAGACAGAGGCAGATTATGATGGGAAATTTCTGCCCTATGCAAAGCAGGAATACTTAGTTTTCCACCAATACTCTGATAAGCTATTTAAAATGCCTTCTAAGCATGGCCATAAGTTGGCATGCAAACCTGATTCCTCTGCTATAATAATCTGCATATATGTGTGGACATATAATACATATAGATATGATATATAAGCAATTTGAAGGAGGATGTAGGAATGTCAGACCGCTACATAATGACTTACTTTTGAAACTTGGGTACAAAGTCCAATGACAGAAAAAGTTCCTTACCATTAGGATCCTCCCAGTCTTTATACCGCTTCTTATACTGAGCTAATCGTTCATCTGTTTGTGCTCCCATTGGCTTAGCCAGGTTTCTAAACGTCTTGGGATTAGTAAGATCCACCTCCTAAAATACAAAATGTAACTCAATTCCAAGTTACTATACACTATCTAGCCTCACTAACGTAGATACAGTGGCTGTTGTGGATGATGATGATTTATAAACGCACTAGTATCTGTGGGGTCAAACTGGTATAACTGGACTCCAAAATAATGCTATATATGTACTGTTTATACACACTTTACAGACAGGCACATGGGAGTTGGTTAACAGATTCAGTTGGAAGACAAGTGCTTTGGAAATTATATGTTTCACAGAGGAAGCCACTCAGGATCCAGGTTTAGGGGATGAGGATTAAGAGGGAAAATACTTCCAAGTCTTGACAAGGACCCAGCAGGAGACTGTGGACACAATAGCTCCAATTCATCGTTAACTTCATCACTCACATAACTGGAGGATCAGATCTCCCTTGTGTCCTCCCTCCCTCCACCCCCGCCCTGTCTCCCTCCAACGTTACTTCTGAGCATTTTCTTCTCAGAGGTGATCTGGAAGTGATAAAAACTAGAACACTCAGTAATTCTTTCACCTCTAAAAGATAACATCACACCAGATCAAGTAACTTCCCAATGAGATGGATTCTTCTAGTTTACCAGAGATCACTTTAAAAGTTGATGAGTTGACCTAATTCATATATTTAAAAGGAAACTAAAATTTACTCCCTGAGGATTTTAAAAGTGGAAATTTGAAATATGTGCCTGTGGCATATTTGTGTCCTTTTTATAGGACATCCTGAATAACTAATTTTGCCAAACTTTTATTTTTAAAAATCTTGGGCAGGAGAAACTGATCTACATTTATGAATGTAAGTCAAGTTAGCATATTTGTTATCTCAAAGTTTATATGTAAAGTACCTTGTTTATATTTTCTGGTTAATTCAACAAATGTTAAAGTATGTACAAAGTACCAGGTGTCATCCTATGGGCTGAGAGTTGAGAGAGACATAAAATGGACTATGTGCTCAAGGACCTTGACCCTACGATTGAGTAGGGTCAAACAAATAGCAGGACAATGCTGTAAAAGAAAGCTCCCTGATTAAAATGGTGAAAAAAAAAAAAAAAACCCAACATAGGTACCATGTTATACAGCTATAGGGCAGTGTGGGAATAGAAGGCAGAGGAGAAAAAGAACAGAAGGGTCCCCATCACCGGGCTGGTACTTGAGTGCCTCCTGAAGGATGAAGTGGAGCTGGTCAGTTGAGTTAGTTGGTGGAGAGAAGAAATGCACGATGGGCACCAGGCAGGTCAGGCTGTATGTGAAAAGCCACTAAATTACAAGAGAGGGAACTGGGGTGCCCCACGATAGCAGTTCTGGGAGTATATGAGGAATATATACACAGGAGCTGCACTGAAAAGGTTGCTATAGTGAGGTTTTTCAACTCTCTCCCAAATTATGATGGTGATTCACTGAATAATTTTATTATTTATTTTTACTTCTTTTTTTTTTTTTTTTTTGAGACAGCTTCTTGCTCTGTCGCCCAGGCTGGAGTGCAGTGGCACACTCTCAGCTCACAGCAATCTCCACCTCACCAGCTCAAGTGATCCTCCCATTTCAGCCTCCTGAGTGGCTGGGACTACAGATGCATGCCACCATGCCTGGCTAATTTTTTGTAGAGATGGGGTTTGCCATGTTGACCAGGCTGGTCTTGAACTCCTGGACTCATGCGATTTGCCCTCCTCGGCCTCCCAAAGTTCTGGGGTTACAGGTGTGAGCCACAGCACCTGGTCACTGAATGATTTTAAACAGGGGGATGACTCAATTAGTGTTCCTGAAACTGGCTGCAGTGTAGAGGGCACACTGAAGGAAGGAGAGACTAGAGCATTAAGCCCAGTTAGGAGACTGCTGCAATGGTCCAATAAAGATGAGGAGGGCCTGAAATGAGACACTGGGTACACTGATGGAGACAAAGGTAGACATGCCTTGGCCACTGAGCAGACATGGACAGTAGGAAAAGTATAATTTCCAGCCTGTAAGACAGCATGGATGATGGTGCCATTTCCTGAGATGGGGAATACACGGTGAAGGTCAGAATTGCATCGGGAGAATGTGGTAGAGAACTGAAGGTTCAGTAATGGGACCTGCCATGTTCCTATGAGATACATATTCAAATATGAGTTGACAAAGTACTCCACTCCCTTCTCAGAAAACCACATTTCTTTTGGACTTCCTGTCTCTTTAAAAAATCTACATTTTCTTTCTAACTTTCCTTGATTGACTTAAAGAAAAAATATTTTCATTTATCAATCTTTACTCCTGAGCTCTTCTTTTCCTTTTATTATTTATTTATTGTGCATTAGGTATGCAAATTAACTATACAAGCAAATATATAGATTCACACATCAAATGAACTAACGTACACCCATGCATATAGGGTGGATTTCCTTTCATTCTTTCATTAGACCAAAATTTTCTGAGGATAGTTTTATCTTTCCCCTTAATATGTTGATGTCTAAAATTTCTGAAAGGATAAGCAGTCATGATTCTAGTGAATAAGAACGTTCACTGAATTTCTGAATTTTAAAAACAATCTTTTTGTTTGTTTACCTAGGGCTAAGTGTCTTTTGTTTTGCCTGTTATGGTTCATTTCTGAACTAATCAGATGTCTATCAGACAGGAGGCAAAGGAAGAGGGGAATCAAAATATTCATATGCATCTATGTGTTCTTGATTTTGAGACTTAAGTCATGTACATGTTGAATTGTTGGAAATCTTCTACCAAGCCTTCTTGGAATAGTATAAAAAATTTCTTTTATATGGCAGGAACATTTTGTAGAAGAGTTACTTTGTGTTTTCCTAACAAACACTTCAAACTACACAGATGGATTCTGACATCCACCAATAGATGCAAATTAATCCGCACTTAAAGAAACTGAAGAGATATTATGAATTAATAGCCAGTACTCAGTAAGTGGGTCAATTATCCAAACTTTTTATATGTCTGTGCTAAATGCTTCTCATCTATTTGAATTAAGTGCCTTTGCCTATTGAGAACATTAAACTACAAACCAAATAAAACATTTAGGCAACCGTAGTTTTTTTTTTTTTTCTTTGTGGAGACAGAGTCTTGCTTGGTTGGTCACCCAGTCTGGAATGCAGTGGTGCAATCTTGGCTCACTGGAGCCTCCACCTCCTGGGCTAAAGTAATCCTCCCACCTCAGCCTCCTGAGTAGCTGGGACATCTGGGGTCTGGCACCACACCTGGCTAATTTCTGTAATTTTAGTGGAGACAGGGTTTCGCCCTGTTTCTCTGGCTGGTCTCAAAATCCTGGGCTCAAGTGATTCGCCTCTCTTAGCCTCCCAAAGTGCTAGGATTTTAGGGATGAGCCACTGCACCCCACTTCAATTGTCGTATTTTAAAATTATTTTTGAAAATGTGTTCTACGTAAGCAAAATGACTTAAGATTTACCTCTGAGTCATAATCTGCAAGGATCCAGGGGAAGACAGGATACTGCATGAGATCATTATATGATCTGCCAGCCAAAGTGTTCAAATGCATCAAATATTGGAAGTTGCTGATTTCACCTCTCTGGAAAAAGATAAATATTCATTTTTGAGCTATCGATTATTTCCACTATGTTCAGCTTTTAAAATTTTATATACAAAATGATGTAAAGGACAGTTTCTTTTTAACAGATTTCAGAACAATGAAATACTTTTTTTTCTAAAAAGAATGAAAATAAAACATTTTCTCTATGGTATATATTTTATGGATAATTAAAGTGCTTTTAACTGTATGACTTCTACTCTAATTACGAACTTCTAAGGAAGCTCATATATTCATTAAACTTACCTCCCATCTCTGAGTCACAGACTTCTCTCCAACCAAAGTGCTAAGTAACCCAGATCTAAAAGCAATACATAATACAATAAATTACAAGCAATAAAATTTTAAATCTGAAAAATTATAAAGTTGAAAAATTTAAGTCACCTGGTCCAGGAATTTTTCAAACTATGGAGGATCTATTAGTGGGTCATAAAATCAGTTTAGTGGGTTGTGATCAGCATTTTGAAATATGAAGTAACATAGAACTGAACTGAAGAAAACAGAGGACATCAGAAGGCATCACATATAGTAAGAAAAAGTATTGTTTTGTGAATTTTGTTTGAGTTGAGTATTTATAACTCCATTTATGTGCCTTGGGATGAATGTAATATATATTTTTTACTCTAGGTCATATTCAAAAGAGTTGGAAGAACACTGATCTAGTTCAACTTTCTGTTTGTTTTGTTTTGTTCTGTTTTGAGACGGAGTCTCGATCTGTCACCCAGGCTGGATTGCAGTGGCATGGTCTCAGCTCACTGCAGCCTCTACCTCCTGGGTTCTAGTGATTCTCTGGCCTCAGCCTCCTGGGTAGCTGGGATTACATGCACTCGCCACCACGCCCAGCTAATTTTTGTATTTTTAGTAGAGGCATGGTTTACCATGTTGGCCAGGTCTCGACCTCCTGACCTCAGGTGATCCTCCCACCTCGGCCTCCCAAAGTGCTAGGATTACAGGCATAAGCCACAGTGCTTGGCCTTCTTTTTCTTTTTAAAACCATTTTATAATTTATTTTTTGTAGAGATGGGGTCTTGGTATGTTGCCCAGGTTGGTCTCAAGATCCTGGCCTCAAATGATCCTCCTAACTCAGCCTCCCAAATTATTAGGACTTCAGGCATGAGCCATATTCTAACCATAGTCTAACTTTCTAATTTTTACTATAATCACTAAGTAAACAGATCCAAGCATACTTAATTAGAATAACTGAAATATTATATAATATTCTGTACATAGTAGGTACATAATGCATTAAATAAGTGAAAGAAAATATGAATATTGTATAACAGGAAAGTCATTGCTGTCCAGGTCATTTAAAATTTAAACATTACTTTTTTGGGGACAGCAGACTTCCTTAAAATGTTATAAAATCCTATTTAAGGTTTATCAGCTTTATAATATTGATAATTAATAATTGGTCATGGAACCAGGAGAAAGTATTTATATATTTTCTTTTCTGAGAGGAAATTAATACATTTGTAAACCTTAGATCCTAAACACATCCAGCTCGATGGTACTATTTTCCACTTTGAGATAGTCTTTCCATCAGGCAAATTGAATGTACAAGATACTCTCTTTGGAAAAATAGCCATGATCACTCTTCAACATCGTAAGAAAGAGGATAACTGAAATGGAAGATTAAAGTTGGAAATGAATTTCTGTTTCTTGCCTCTGAGCTCTTTAAAGTTCTTTAAGAACTGCCAACTCAGCACAGGCAGTAGCAAGAACAAAGAAATAGCAAGTTTAAGATTATCTAGGAAGCAGTAGCAATTCGCTTACAAGTAGAAAAAAGGCTCATTATGTTTTTAAGGAAATCTTTCACTTCCTGTATTTATGTTAACAACAACACATATGATTAGGAGCAGAACATGTTTCTGGGGTTAAAAAAAGCATATATTTAGCATTGTATTTGTTAAGGCTTGGCTATAGAAAAATAAAAACAAAACTTAAAGAGAAATACACAAAGTATTTAGATGCACACAGACTGGAATCAAATTTATTTACAAATTACAGAATCTCTAGAACTTGTAAAAGTCATTTTCTTGCATGTTCTAATAATTAATTTACAGCCCCAAAGCACTGCTTCTTTCCAGTCGATTATAAAGGGCTACTAGTTACTGAGTGATATAAATGGAACTGGGTCTACAGATTCTTGAAATGGCTGTGTTACCTAGAAGGCCTCGCTAAGATGAAGCACAGCTATAAGGAGCATAAAGGAATCACTGATAGGTCAGAATACATAAAAACAGAAGTTTAAATGTAAATGTCAAAAAGCAAAATTTAGAGGAAAACTGGGAAATCTGCAACAAATATGACAAGCAAAGGAGTAATACCTTATGGTAGAAAAATCCTATACAAATTGATAAGATCTCAAAGGAAAAATAGGCAAAAGATACGGACAATTTACAAAAATGATTTTAAATGGTTAATAAACATATACAGAGCTCATGCTTACTAATAATCAAAGAAATATACATTAAAAATCAGAAAACATTTTATAAAATCAATAAAATAAAAAAATTAATATACAGGCCAGGCGCAGGGGCTCATGCCTGTAATTCCAGCACTTTGGGAGGCCGAGGAGGGCGGATCGCGAGGTCGGGAGTTTGAGAGCAGCCTGGCCAATATGGTGAAACCCCATCACTACTAAAAATACAAAAATTAGCCAGGTGTGGTGGCGCGCACCTGTAGTCCCAGCTACTCGGGAGGCTGAGGCAGAAGAATCGTTTGAACCTGGGACGCGGAGGCTGCAGTGAACTGAGATGGTGCCACTGCACTCCAGCCTGGGCAACAGAGCAAGACTCCGTCTCAAAAAAAAAAAATAATAATAATATACAAAGTTAGCAAGTATCTATTGAGACAAACTTATCCACTAATAGTACAATATAAACTTGTATAGTTTTTATGAATATCAAGCTGGTTTTGTGTATCAAGAGCCTTAAAATTCCTACTCTTTGTTTTATTAAGGGGACTCTACCACAATAAAATAATGAAGAATCATAGCCGGGCATGGTGACTCATGCCTGCAATCCCAGCGCTTTGAGGGGCCAAGATGGGTGGATCACTTGAGGCCAGGAGTTTGAGACCACCCACGCCAACATGGAGAAACCCCTTCTCTACTAAAAATACAACAATTAGACAGGCATGGTAGCACATGCTTGTAATCCCAGCTACTTGGGAGACTGAGGCTTGAATCAGCCTCAGGCTGGGAAGTGCTCAGCCTGATGCTGAGAATCGCTTGAGCCCAGGAGGCAGAGGTTGCAGTGAGCCAAGATCACACCATTGCACTCCAGCCTGGGTGACAGAAGGAAACTGTCTCAAAAGAAAAAAATTAAAAAAAAAAAAAAAAAAAAAAGAAGAATCACATTTCCAGTCTTATGATAAGAAAACCTGATAAATGCCAGGCACAGTGGCTCACGCCTGTAATCCCAGCACTTTGGGAGGCCGAGGTGGACAGATCACCTGAGATCAGTAGTTTGAGACCAGCCTGACCAACGTGGCAAAACCCTGTCTCTACTAAAAATACAAAAATTAGCCAGGTGTGGTGGCAGGCACCTATTATCCCAGCTACTCGGGAGGCTGAGGCAGGAGAATCGCCATGAACCCAGGAGGTTGCAGTGAGCCAAGACGTGCCATTACACTCCAGCCTGGGTGACAGAGCGAGACTCCATCTCTTAACAATAATTAAAAAAAAGCAAAAACCTGATAAAGATGAAATATCCAAAAATTACATGATGTTTTATATATGTGATGAATAGATAGCGAATAATAGTTATGTTTCTGAATAGTTTTTTAAAGATGAGAGGGAATATTTAAATATAACACTGAATAGAAGAAGCAGAATAAAAACTTGTATTTAGAGTATAAACTCAATCATGCACACAGCAATACTCATGCTTTAAAGAACAGAAGGTAATTGATCAAAATGTGAGCAGTGATTTGACACAGTGCTTATGCATACCTTTTTCTTTTCTTCCTTTAGTTTTCAGTATTTTTTTAAAAAAATTTGCAACCACCAGGGGAAAAACACTCATCTAAAATGTTAAATAATACTGTCCAGATATGAATCATCCCAACTTCACTATTAAACTGTAACATGCAAGGAACAAACCACCTACCCCTGCTCCACACTCGTGTTTGGTCGTTGCCCAGATACAGATTCTGAACTGTCCGTTAGAGATGGCACTACAGCCAAAAACCTGAAAAATTTAAAATAGCGTAAAATTACAAGTGAAGTCTCAGTCAGGATCTAATGGGAAGCCTAAGAAAGGACGATTCGTTTAGATTTTCATAGTTGCGTCTACCCTCCCATAACCCACTAAATGGCAGGCAAAAGGAATATATAAATTTTGGACTTCTCTAAAGAGGAAATAATTTCTTAGCACTGAAAACAATAGCACCTTTAGAAATTAAAAAAATCAGATAAGTAAAAGTGAATCTCAATCACTTTACTTAGCTCTTCCCATATGTGAAAGGAGTTTTGGGTTACCAATCAACATCCACAGGCCCTTTATTTGAAGAACCACCCTCATTTCCCAGGTGCTCACGGGTAATATTACTGTACTGCAATGAGAAGCAATGTTGGATGGTTTAGTTATTCCTCATGGAAATAATCTGAAATATAAAATTTTCTATAATGGAGGGATTGCCAGGATCTGTATCACCCTTCAAAGAACAAGAGAATGCCTCTCATCTACATGGTTAGTTCAGAATAGCCTTATTATTCACACATTCAAAAGAATTATCTTTTAAGTACCAGAGATGTGTGTTGTTTTTCCTTTTTTAAAAAATTTATAGGCTGTGTGTGGTGGCTCACGCCTGTAATCTCAACACTTTGGGAGGCCGAGGCGGGCAGATCATGAGGTCAGGAGATCGAGACCATCCTGGCCAACATGGTGAAACTCCATCTCTACTAAAAATACAAAAATTAGCTGGGTGTGGTGGTGCACCTTGATATCCCAGCTAATTGGGAGGCTGAGGCAGGAAAATTGCTTGAACCTGGGAGGTGGAAGTTGCAGTGAGCCGAGATTGCGCCACTGCACTCCAGCCTGGTGACAGAGCAAGACTTTGTCTAAAAAAAAAAAAAATCATTATTATTTTTTGAAACAGTGCCTTGCTCACTCAGGCTAGAGTGCAGTGGTGTGATCGTGGCTTACTACAACCTTGACCTCCTGGGCTTAAGCAATCCTCCCACCTCAACCTGCCATTACAGGCATGTGCCACCATGCCCGGCTAATTATTTTCTTTTTTATAGAGACAGGGTCTCACTATGTTCCCCAGGCTGGTCTTTAACTCCTAGACCAAAGTGATCCTCCCTCCTTGGCCTCACAAAGTGCTAAGAATATGAGCGTGAGCCATTGCACGGCTTGGCCTGTTTTTCACTTAAAAGGTAAATTTTAAATATAGTTTATTAAAGATAAAAATATGCTTAGATTAGATTAACTGCTTTATTTAGCTATACTACTTTTTCAAGGATGAAGGTATCCAACATCCCTTCCATGGCCAGAGAAAAGTCCCACATGAATTAAATTTACTCAGTCCTTGCATTCAATAGCAAGAAACTGCATTGGCTTCATTTTGGTAAATACAAAGAAAGCTTATTTTGAAACTAAAGTTTTATTTTTGGCCGGGCACGGTGGGTGGCTCACGCCTGTAATCCTAGCACTTTGGGAGGCCGAGGTGGGCAGATCACAAGGTCAAGAGATCGAGACCATCCTGGCTAACACGGTGAAACTCCATCTGTACTAAAAATACAAAAAATAAGCCGGGGATGGTGGCGGGTGCCTGCAGTTCCAGCTACTCGGGAGGCTGAGGCAGGAGAATGGCGTGAACCCGGGAGGCGGAGTTTGCAGTGAGCTGAGATCATGCCACTGTACTCTAGCCTGGGCGACAGAACGAGACTCCGTCTCAAAAAAAAAAAAAAAGAAGAAGAAAAAAAGAAACTAAAGTTTTATTTTTAAAGCTACAGTTTCATCATCCTTTGTATTTAGAGACACAGGACTTAGTGATAAAAGTAGTTTTTGATGATCTCTACTATAAGTTACCAGAAGGAAAAATGGTATGTCACAATAGAATTGCACCATTTTAAAAGTCAGAAGAATAATTGTTTCAAGAGGGTGGCAAAAATAATATAAATTATTTTCTTCAAAGATGTTGGCTCATTGATCTAGATTTTTAAAAACCAGCAAAACTGAGAAAAGATTCCCCCTCCCATATCTTCCCATAATAGTATACAAAGTGTTCCGAATAAACAAGACCTTTGATAGACTTTGTTTCTGATTCCTTTCTGAAAAGCAAGGAGGTAATTCCGTCCATCTCCAGAGAAAACTTCCACAGCAATAGGCTGAAATGATCAGAGAGAAAAACATTAAGAAAAAACAGAAGTTCACAAATAAAATTATATATTAACTTTTCCACTATAAATTTCTACAATGTTCAAGAAGTTAATCTGCGGCCGGGCGCGGTGGCTCATGCCTGTAATCCCAGCACTTTGGGAGGCCAAGGCGGGTGGATCACAAGGTCAGGAGATCGAGACCATCCTGGCTAACACAGTGAAACCCCGTCTCTACTAAAAAATACAAAAAATTAGCCGGCCTTGGTGGCGGGTACCTGTAGTCCCAGCTACTCGGGAGGCTGAGGCAGGAGAATGGCATGATCCCAGGAGGCAGGGCTTGCAGTGAGCCAAGATCGCGCCACTGCACTCCAGCCTGGGCAACAGAGCGAGACTCTGTCTCAGAAAAAAAAAAAAAAAAAAAAAAGAAGTTAATTTGCTAACACTTTTAGAGTCATGAATTCCCTGCAGATTAAGCTACACAATAAATAGATATTTCTTATTCTGCTCAATTTATTTCTAAAGTCTTTAGTAACAGAATAAAAAAAGTAATTATAATTTTATAATTATAATTTTATAAAATTATAGTAAGGATGTAATTTTTATATTAGAAGAAAACTAAAATGTTGATTTGGATAGCTACAGGGAAAGATGGATAACAAAGATAATTACCCAAATTTTAGGCTGTGTTTAAACAAGAGAAATGCATTATACAAAATTATGCATCCACATGACCTGAGTCTGTCTATAACCATATCTAAGGATTATTCTAAATGCAGATCCTGGCCAGCCACGGTGGCTCACGCCTGTAATCCCAGCACTTTGGGAGGCCGAGGCAGGCGGATCACGAGGTCAGGAGATCAAGACCATCCTGGCTAACATGGTGAAACCCCGTCTCTACTAAAAAACAGAAAAAAATTAGCTGGGCGTGGTGGCAGGCGCCTCTAGTCCCAGCTATGCAGGAGGCTGAGGCAGGAGAATGGTGTGAACCAGGGAGGTGGAGCATGCAGTGAGCCTAGATCGTGCCACTGCACTCTAGCCTGGGTGACAGAGCAAGACTCCATCTCAAAAAAAAAAAAAAAAAAATGCAGATCCTATTGAGGGTTTCCATGGCATGTATCAATTTTAAAATAATACATTTTCGGCCGGGCGCGGTGGCTCACGCCTGTAATCCCAGCACTTTGGGAGGCCAAGGCGGGCGGATCATGAGGTCAGGAGATCGAGACCATCCTGGCTGACACAAGGAAACCCCGTCTCTACTAAAAAAATACAAAAAAATTAGCCTGGCGTGGTGGCGGGCGCCTATAGTCCCAGCTACTTGGGAGGCTAAGGCAGGAGAATGGTGTGAACCCGGGAGGCGGAGGTTGCAGTGAGCTGAGATCATGCCACTGCACTCCAGCCTGGGCGACAGAGTGAGACTCTGTCTCAAAAAATAAAAATAAAAAATAAAAAATAAAATAAAATAAAACAATACATTTTCAGAATAAAGAAACATGATAAAACAGTACTACTAAATTGACTCACCTGCAGGAGATATCTCCTTTTATGAACTTCCTTGATATCTTCATATGCAAAAATGCTGCATGTTCTCTTGAGTTGACTAGGGCCTTGCCTGGCTCCTCTAGGAATAATAGGCTCATGCATACTACAGGCAGCCAAGAGAAAAAGCAAATAAAAACACAGCAAGGGATAAATTCACTGTTCCATAAAGGGCGTGCTAATTTTAAACACATGAACAGGATGGAGGAGTAATATATATCAGAATTTTCAGTTAAAAAATATATTTACAAGAAGAATTTGTTAGCTACCTGAGATACAAGGAACCCCCTTTGATGAATATAATTTTAAAAATCCCCTTATTACTGTCAGGACCAAGTTATCTACCAGACATGGTTAGCACAGTGCCTCAGCTCACATATTTTGGGGCCCAAGAAAATGTCTTAATTTCTTTTAAAAATCAGAAAAAAAATCAACTTTTAGGTAGAAAAACACATTTTAATATAAGATTATATTTATACCATTAGCCACAACATACAATTTTAAATATTTTTGTATGGAAAAAGGACCCACGAAAGACTTCATGTGACCCTGATTGTTGTTGACAGTAATTATTTGAAATATCTCCTAGGAATGAACTACAGAAACAATGTCTGTGTTCAAGGGTGCTAGGAAAATGTTAAAGGAAGAGAAGCAGCCTGTTGATCTTCTAAGCCCTAAGCTTCTTAACTTTCTTCTAGGTTGGTCTGTCTCCTGAGTTTTCCACTACTCACTACCACTTTCATCACAGGACTGGTAGAAGAAAAGGAAGATGCCTACAACTCAGTCAGTAAATCTCTGCTAATGCTTTAGTCATGCTGTTTCTAGGGTGCTCCGAGTACCTGATGATGCTCTTTCATTTTTAAGAGTATTCTTCACGCCTGTAATCCCAACACTTTGGGAGGCCGAGGCGGGCGGATCACAAGGTCAGGAGATTGAGACCATCCTGGCTAACATGGTGAAACTCTGTCTCTACTAAAAATACAAAAAATTAGCCTGGCGTGGTGGCGGGCGCCTGTAGTCCCAGCTACTCGGGAGGCTGAGGCAGGAGAATGGCATGAACCCGGGAGGCGGAGCTTGCAGTGAGCCGAGATTGCGCCACTGCCACTCACTGCACTCCAGCCGGGGTGACAGAGTGAGACACTGTCTCAAAAAAAAAAAAAAAAAAAAAAAAAAGAGTATTTTCTCTACAATTGTATATCTGCTATATTTTTTAAAAGGACCATTTATAAATTCAGAATAAATTTGTAAATATATACATTATAATATAAATAACTCAGAATGCACAGAAATAAATGTTATTTAGCTTTCATCTTGATAAATAAGCCAAACATTTTCATTATTACCTTAAAATAACTGAATATCATCTTTGTGAATATGTAATGATGAATGCACACAAACCGAGAGATAACATTACCTAGAACACAATTTTTTGATTAAAAAAGAAAACTGCAAATACATTTTCTGTCTTCTAAAGATAGCCATACATTATGTCTCTTCATTCATTTACTTACTTTGGAGGTAAGGTTTCAATATCTCTTATTTCCCTGGTTGCTGTCATGGTAAATCCATCAATCACATAAAAATGCTCTTTACCAAAAAGAAGGAGCCCCTCACTGGTATCTAGGCCCTGGACTCGAGCACAGCGGTACATGTGTTGGATCTATAAAGAAGCCCACAAACATTCATTAATATAGGCTTTTTGTAAAGATCAATTTTTGTTAGACTACTACGGCATCCCTAGAGCTAAGCATATTAAATCAGAGTTTAAGCATATTGAGAAGATTAAGCTTAGATTACAGTCTGATTTACATCTGACTAGAGTAAAACTAAACAATTCACTCATACCCATCCACTCATCTGCCAATCCCATCTCTCTCAATATTCCGGGTGTACTTTATGTAGGCCAGGCAAACATGCGCTAGCTTCTAAAAGTCAAGAACATTAGATAAGGCTCCTGCTCTCATGAAGGGAGACAGACACAGCAAACTTGGCAGGAAAGGGAATTGAGGCATACATGTAAGGAGATTAGAATAGGATTGTGTTCTATGTGAGGCAAGATGATACAGAGTGAAAATTGCAGGGCCTGCTAACTCAGGGTAAATTTCCAGTTCTGCCACTTTGTAGACTGGGTCAAGTTTCTTAATTTCTCTGAGCCTCCATGTCTTTTTTTGTAAGTTTCTAATTGGCTTGTTGTGAAAAATAAGTGAGATAATGTACATAATCAGGTTAGGAATTATTGGTTGCTTTCTGTTCCACACAGTTTACCTTCTTTTTCCATCATACCCCCTGGAAATGGAACTGTAGAATTTGTTTCTATTCATTCCCCACCTGGATTCTGCTCCCTGGAGACTACTGTACTATTGCAAAAAGCCAAGCTTGGCAGAAGTTGTATTTTCCTCATAGGAAGGAGCATTGCTAAATCTCTCAAAGTAAGTATTGTTTTCTCCCAAAGGGCAGTATCTAATTCTTTCTAAAAACTCTTTCTTGCTTAAACTTAGTTCAACATGAGTCAAGACAAAAATCAGCAATTAAATCAGAGTCAAACACATGTCAGTTTGAATACACTTCCTGCACTATTAAAGCAACCAGAGCAAAAACTGTACTCATGAGATTAAAAGTTTTAAAAATGAAAGCATTGTAATAGGTTTTCTAAAATATCTAAATATAAGTCAATTTTCATTGCTACATTTGATCAATCCTGATGTACTTTAAAAGTTTCTCTATTGCAGTATATTTTATGCATATACATACATACATACATATATTATATATAAACACATACATATACACACACACACAAAATGTTTATTTCCTAAGTGTATGGCTGGATGAATTTTCAAATGCTAAAAATTTTGTGTGACCAGCATCCAGACCAAGAAACAGAATGCTCCCCAGTTCCTAGAAGCCTCTCTTGTGCTTCCTTCATACCTGGTGTACTTTTATAGTTACATGATCTTTTCTAATGTATTGTCATTCAATATTAATTAGGGCATACATTTGAACGGAACTGTTTTGATTATACTCAAATTTCTAGTGACTACTTCTTAGAGGGTAAGAACTCAAAGGTTATACCAAGATCTAATATAATAGGCAAAAGAACATCCTTTAAAAAGGTGATATTCATGACACATTCAAGTCATTCATTCCCTTGTTTATTAAACCAATCATTCCTTCATTCAAAGGTTTACTGGTTGTCTATTATGCAACTGGACCTGTGTAAGGCAATGAGATAGAGATAAGACACAGTTTGCCTATAAGGAGCTCGACATCTAGGACGAGAAAGAAAGATACTGGAACAAGTAATTATGACATGATAATACAGAGTGATATATATAAGGCATCATGAAAGTATAGAGGAAGGGTATGCAACCAAGCCTGAGTAGCAAAAGAGTCAAAAAAAGCTTCCTATGTTTGAATATTACAAACATCCAGATAAATGGGATTATAACACACAGGATTTATTAGGATAAAGGTTATGCAAGTAAAAGGAAGGGGGCATTTTGGCAGAAAAAAACAATATGAGTGACACGGTTTGCATATGTGTCCCCTCCACATCTCATGTTGAAATGTGATCCCCATTGTTGGAGGTGCGGCCTTATGGGAGGTGTCTGGGTCATGGGGGTGGGCCCTTCATGAATGGCTTGGTGTTGTCCTGGCGGTAATGAGTCCTTACTCTATCAGTTCACACAAGAGCTCCTTTTCTCACTATGTGACAAGCCTATTCCCCCTTCATCTTTTGCCATGAGTTAAAGCTTTCTAAGGCCTCATCAGAAGCCGAGCAGATGCTGGTGCCATGCTTGTACAGCTTGTAGAAGCGTTGAGCCAAACAAACCTGTTTCTTTATAAATTATCCAGCCTCAAGTATTCCTTTATAGCAATGCAACATGGACAACCACAATGAGTAAAGTGCAGAGTGGAAAAAAAAACACAACATGGTGGGTGTAATGAACTCCAAGGTGTACCAGGCTGCAGGGGCTCAGGCTACAAGACAGAGTCAGTGGAATGAGACCAGAGAGGTCAGCAGGGTATTGGAGGTTGAGCAAGAAATAGGAAGGTGATGTCTTCTGTGAGTGAAGGAGAGCAGGGGCTAAATAATCCAAGGCTGGAGGTGACAGTCCAGATTGGCTGAAGCCGCTTGTAGGTTATTACTGGAATTATGGAGATGTAGAAAAAAATACAAGGCCAGATTACTGAATAGGCTGTCTACATGGATTTGAAATAGAGAATTATGGCAAGATCTGTGGTATAGAGGAAGAAAGAATTAGATGCCAGTTGTTAACACTGTATCTGATAAAATCTTATGCTGTTTAATGTTTCAGGGTATGAGAAAACCCTTACAGATGAGAAAAGTAGAGTACTGAACCCAAAAGGCTGCTTAAGCTGTATTTTATTACCGAGGCTAATGCATTTACTTTCCACAGCTACCCTATCAACTCATCTTGTCTTAATAATATGTTACTGAAGTATTTACAATCCTTACTTTTCAGAAGCACAATACCTTTTCTCCTTCCTCTAACAGGCGCAGTAAGGTAGCATTATCTGTTTTCTCCTCCTCTTCTATGGAGCTGCCCTCAGCAATCTGGTCTTGTAGCTGCTCCTGGTTCTCCTCATCTCCTCCATCAGGTGCAGATCGGGAGCGTTTTAGAGGAGGCTTGACCAAACCTACAGTATAATAACCAAGAGGGCCATGTGGCATTGTAAGGACCTTGTGGGGAAGCAGTTTAGTCTCATGTAGTTCCTTCTATAGATTTCCAATTTGAGACAATTTTGGAAGGTATAGGGAGGTAGCACATTCAGTGGTTAAGAACATAGTCCTCTGGAGTTAATGACCTTGGAAAATTATTCAACTTTCTGAACCTTAGTTTCTTATCTATAAAACTGGGACAAGAGCCAGGTGTGGGCAACACAGCAAGATTCTGTCTTAAAACAACAACAACAACAACAACAACAAAAAACATGGTACAAGTACACTATCTTAGAGGATTGTTGGAGGACTAAATTAGGTAACTCATGTAAAGTGCTTAGCATTATGCTTAATGCATAATAAATTCTCAATAGTGTCAGGTAATGATGATAACAGAAAGCTATAATAGTAAGAATGGTATAGCTTAGGTAGGTGTCATTAAGGGGACACCATGAATAAATAATCAATGATTGTCACAAAAATAAAGACAGCAAATTATAAACATGATTACGACTGGGTGCAGTAGCTCACACCTATAATCCCAGCACTTTGGGAGGCCAAGGGGAGCAGATCACCTGAGGTCAGGAGTTTGAGACTAGCCTGGGCAACATGGCAAAACCCCGTCTCTACTAAAAATACAAAAATTAGCTGGGTGTGGTGGTGCATGCCTGTAGTCCCAGCTACTCAGGAGGCTGAGGTGGAGAATCGCTTGAACCTGGGAGGCACAGGTTGCAGTGAGCTGAGATCACGCCACTGCACTCCAGCCTGGGTGACACAGCAAGACTCTGTCTCAAAAAAAGTAAAAAATAAACATGATTACAAGATATCCCACCTACTTGGAGGGCTCTTGAAGACTATTTCATGCCTCATTTCACAAGTGGCAGTATGGCTTTTCATACATGAATTAATTTGATCAAAATACCAGGTCAGAAAGAACAGAATTCTTTATAATACAAGGACATATAATGTAATTTGCAGATTAAGGAAACATTTTACTACCTACATTTTGACAACTTTTTAATAATCACAGTACGATAATTTAAAATCAGTTGACAGTAACCAGTGAGGACCCAAAGTATGAGAAGTCCTTAAAATGCATGCCAAATCACACATTTTGATTAAATTAATATTCTTTGTGCCATCCAAAGTAACACTATACCTGCCTGTTACAGTTGCTCTAAGCACTTTGGAAAAGCACAAGTCAGCCTGAGTCTTATCCTTTGAATATTACTTATCAGAGGTTCTGCTTTGCCTTGAGAAGAGCCTTGTTTTCATATTTGAACAAGTGTAATAAGTAAGCAAGAGAGATCAAATCCTGCAGAGAACATCCACAAGGGGTGGAAAGCTTACAGCTGCTTTATTTTTAGCTTAATGAATCAAAACCTCCATTTCTATGTCTAGCATAATACCCTGTATATTTGCGCTTTTAGCTCAATTAGAGATTAGGAAAATCAGGCCAGAGAAGTTAAAAGCCAATGACCTAAACACAAATAATCTATCAAACTCTGTGAATTATACCTTGGCTTGTATCCAGCAACAGCTTTGGACCCAATTCAATAACTATGCTGGTGCAATGTCAACAAAATTAGAAGGCTTTAATCTCTGTTCAACTACGAACAGTTTCAGTGATTTCATGAAAATGTTGGATCAATTATAAAATGTTTAGTAAGTCATAGTCATCACATGAGAGAACAGGTATGTCATAACAACAGGAGAAACTGATCACAATCTCAATAGTGTTTTTTGTTGACACAGTCATATACTATCAGTTTTTAAAACAATCTGAAACTCATTTTTAATTTATTAACTCATTAAAACTTATTTTTAATTTATTAGTTTTTAATTTTAAAACTAACTTTTACTTAAAATCTTAATTTACACTTTAGGGCTTTATAGACTATGCAAAGACTTTTGAATTTGTGGTGAATCAGAGGCTTACAAAGATTAAAACAATGGATTGATTTACTTACTCAGTTGAACTGATTGAATCCTCATTCTGTGCTAGTCATGTGTCAAAATTTATAAAGTGAGAAAAAAAATCTGTCTTTGAGAAAAACTCATAAATTAGAAAGTGGAAACATACAGCAGTGAAAAAATCACTGAAACTGCTATAACAGACATGAGCGAAGTATTATCAGTGAACAGAGGAGTTGGAGAAGACTTTAGAGAAGGATGATTTTATATATGACCAGTGAGTTTAAGACTGAGTAGGATGTGTTAAGGTAGGGATAATGGAGAAGCTGTAGAAAAGAAGAAACCATTTCAGGCTCAAGGCACCACATGTAAAAGTACAGAATC
Organism: Homo sapiens; assembly: GCF_000001405.40. Lineage (NCBI taxonomy): Eukaryota > Metazoa > Chordata > Mammalia > Primates > Hominidae > Homo > Homo sapiens. The sequence continues at coordinate 84,723,893 of NC_000004.12, forward strand.
CGAAAGTCTATGGACATTGTAGTCCAATTCATCATCTACTCAGCTCCTAAAGTTTAGATCTGGGATAATCTCTCTCAACTCATAGGAAGAAAGACCATTATTCCTTACTATTGGCTAATATGCACTAATGACAGGTTTAGTTTTAATTTCATAAATATTTATTTAGTTATTAAGCCCTTAAAATATCAAGTGCCAAGGCACATGTTCTCAATACCTCCTGATGCTGTGTCATGAAAAAATACATATGTGTATTAAAAAAACTAAATATCAAGTGCCACTGAGAATTCTGAGAAATACAATTAAAAAACCATTAAGCCAATGGGCACGTGATATTCATTTGTAGGCAATAAACAAGAGCAAGTCTTTTTAGTTCTGACAAAGAAATCAATCTTTAAGAAGGGTGAGATGGTAAAATGTGTATGGATATTTTTAAAGTTGGCCCTACTATTTATAGTTGCTCAAATTTTTGTATGAATTCAAATACAAGAATGTTCCAAAATCACTTTTAATCAAAATCAAAAAGGCAGGCTGACCTTTGACTTTAGCAATAGTGTCTTCCCCATGCTCTGGTTCTTGCTGAGCAGCTTCACCTTCTGAACTCTCCACAATGGCGTCTTGGACAATGGCGGGATTGCCAGAGGCCAGTCGCATGTAGTACTCTTTACTGTCATAACTTACGGCTCTTCTATATCGAGCAGGTTTCTAAGAAATGACAAAAGAAAATGACTCCGATAACTATCACCAAGAATTAAAACGTAATATTCTTGAGGGAAGGTATGGTGTCAAGGTGTGTTACCTTTTTAAAGGGGCTTTTCATAGACTGTATGTATATACAGTAAATCCACACTTTTGGGTTAAGTTTCTCTATTTTAAAATTCTATTGATTTTTTAAAAGACATACATAAAACAACAATATTAGCAGCTTTGTTCTTCCTGAAATAATCTCTAGCCAAAAAATGTTTCTGTGTTAGTGCAGTGTGTCTTCTTTGGTGTATGAGAAAACCTCCCCATCCGGTAAAGAGAATGATCACTGTTGAAGAGCATCAAGCTGCAAACAGCCTGTCTAGTCTGTGAGGAGCCTGGAACTTCACTTCCACCCCAAGTGAAGTAATTAGGTCAGGCCTAAAGGTCCACACACTCAGAATAATCGGTGTGAGTGTGTAGTTCAAATACTTGGAGGTAGAGACTCAACTGGCCTATTCTTTCCTATATTCCCAGGTTTCACTGAGAATGGCCAAAATCTTCTTCAGATCCTTCTGAGAGTCCTGACCCAAAAAGGAATCAAGAAGTTTTATGCCAGGTGACACTCTGGTTAGCTTGCCACTGCAAGCTGCTATCTCCAATTTGCTCATTCTCATTGTCTGTTGTGTAAAGGAATATGATCCATAACTAACTCAACTAAATGAGTATTTGATATACTCATTCTTAATGAACATACAGCAGTCCATTCTGAAGAAGAAATTAATTACCTAGAAACATAAGGATTTGATGTTTTAGAACATGATACATGAACATTTCTTTTCCTGATTAGCCTTTATTCTCAAAACAGGTTCTCCAACTGACTTAAATTGTTTTCCCCTTAAAATCACGGAAGATGAGAAACTAAGATCTAAAATATCCTATAAAATATCAGACAGAGGGAAAAGTTTGTATGTATATAGGTTCCTCGGATCGGAATTAGACCCAGACTATGGATTAATAATTTTAAAAAGATGAAATCTGAAACATGCTTTAAAACCTTCCCCTTCTAAATATGACTTTACTTTCCTATAAACAAGAATATATAATTTTAAAAATTTTACTACCCGTCTACTCTTCAAACTCAAATAATCAATATGCATCATTTACAACAATGCCCTTTTCAAGCAACATTTTTTTTAAGTGATTTCCAACTAAAGTGGAAAACAAGTGTCCTTTGGGTGAGACATGTAGAATGAGATACTGAACCAAATTTTAGATAAAAAGATAACTAAGTCAAGCCACATTAACCTTCTTTAACTTCAGGTACAGAGCAAGGAAATAAAGAGAGTTGCCAGTGAACTGAGGAATGATATACAGCAAATGGAGACTGAAAATATTACTTGACATAGCAAAGTATTAAAATGATGTACAATATTACAATTTGGAGGAACTGATGGGTAAACAAACAAGAACACTGCACTATTTTTGAAACTGAAAGGAAGGTCGTAGATTTTGTACCATAAAAATTCTTTTATGTGAGGTATTTTCAACTCAAAATTGCTAATATTTAAAAAGATAAAAGCATAGTTAGTGATGGGCAAGACAATGAATTAATAGATGAGGGACAGCATCTACTTGATTACTGACTTCATGTACAGATTTAAAATTGACCTAAAAGAATTTTTTTCTAAATATTTTGATGTACATTTCTGTGTTCTAAAAAACTACATTTTTTATTAAATTATGTACTTTCATCTTTCTGGAATACAAAAACGATAATTAACTTTTCTACTAATTAAAATAAATTTGTATTTTAAAAAGTGATCACACACTCTTTGTTTCCATTCGTTCTGATTGAAAAAAATAATTTTAAAAGAGGAGACACTGTTGCATTCTCAAAATATACACTTTAGTATTTAGAAGAATTAAATGAGTCACTGAAAAGTTGAAGATGCCAGGCTGCCCATTACTAACATGCCTCATAATTTGTTAGTTTATGTGTGAAGCAAAAGATGTTTTTATAGTGAGAGCAGTGAAAACTCAGTCTGTTAGTGAGTGGCATATAAATCCTAAAAAGAGATAATTAGAAAAAGCTGAGCAACAGTAGAACAACATCTCTCAGCCTGAATGAAACCAACGGTTCAACTCTAAGGAACTTATAGGAAGAACAAATTGAAAGCCAATCTTTTAAGTTAGTCTAGTCTACCATGCACTTAAAAAAAAAACCAGAAAACAAAAAACAAAACTACAAGTAGTTTACATTCTTTTACTGTAATTTGTGTTTTACCTTTTGAGGAATATCATCGGGTGTCTCAGGCTGTTTACTTGGGATCTCAGACTGAAAACAGGGTATTAAGTATAGACATATCAGAAAAAAAAACATAAAGAGGAACACAAAAATAAAATTTTTCTTGAGGATTGTATGAAATATGAAAGATGTAGTTACTCAAACAAAATTAACATGATAGCCTAAGCAGCTTAAATAATCACTAAGCATCTTGTGGTTACTGTCTCACAGATCAAAAGCAGTTTTAAGTAAAGCTTAAATACGGCAAACGTCTCAGTGCTACTGAACAGGACAAACTCTTACAAATCACACAGGCAAAACTTCAGCACAGGCTGCCATTGACTTGGATGATTTACAGGCAACTCTTTACATTGTTTAAAAAAAAAAACAAAAAACAAAAAACCTGAAATCAGGATAATAGAACCTAATGCTAGCTAGTATCTTCCATCTTCCTTTCCCTGGGGTTATCCCTAAATCTGTGTTGTAACAGGGGCAAACGGCTGATTTAAGCTATCATTTACAATACTCCATACCACAGACATCATTCTCTTTAAGAATCCTCCCTTAAAAGCATAAGGATCTACTTCCTTCACTACCTTTACCATCCCAGAAAGGGTGAAAGCAGAGGGTAGACTGGATCATCAGCCCCCAGATCAGAAGCTTTTCTAGAGTACTTTTAAAAGAATTAGGTAATGGCTTTATATTTTATTTTCAGAATAAAATCCTGGTTAATAAGAAGGCAATTCTGTTGAGCTGTAGCATGTGGCTTCATGTAAGCACACAGGTAGCTACAGACAATAATGCAACCAAAAACCACTTCCGAATTTCCTTCCTGTTCATGGTTTATATCTGGTGATGACTTCTGGTACCTTTCCCTATAGTAAACATGAGCAGGCAAAATGTTTTCACAAATGTTTGCTTACCAAGGCAAAACCATGGCCCACTAGGCATACTTACAAATACTTCACATGGTTTTAGTGATTCTTTCTTTTTAAAAGCAAACTTGTAAAGGTATATCTTATATTGAAAAATAATATTTAACATCTAATCAATGTTCTTTATCTTGGTAGGGATTTAGAAGATAAAAGTATAATGTATATATTTGTTAAAACTCACTGACTAGACCATAATAAAATAAAAGTATTTTAATGGCAAAAACAGATCAGGAAATCCAACATTAAAAAAAGAAAGAAAAAAAAATCACTGAACAGTACACTTAAGATTTGTATATTTCAATGTATATAAAATTTCCTTCAGGAAAAAAAGAATTGTAAACAAATACTGAACTCATAATATGCATATGAAAGTGAAGAAAACGGATTCTTCAACCTGCTCTGAAATTCATAAAACAAAACAAAACAAAACAAACAAACAAAAACAAGATAGGACCAGGAGCGGTGGCTCACACCTATAATCCCAGCACTTTGGGAGGCCGAGGTGGGTGGATTGCTTGAGCTCAGGAGTTCAAGACCAGCCTGGGCAACATAGCAAACCCCCCATCTCTACCAAAAAATCCAAAAACAGCCTGGCATAGTGGTGCATGACTGTAATTCCAGCTGCTTGGAAGGCTGAAGCGAGAGGATTACTTGAGCCCAGGAGGTCCAGGCTGCAGTGAGCCAAGATCACCACTGCACTCCAGCCTGGGCAACAGAGCGATAACTTGTCTTAAAACAAATGAATAAAAAAATAAGATAGACTGTTGGATAGATATGCAACAAATAAGTACAACAAAACAGACCAATTACTAATGTCACACCTAACTGTGACATTCACTATATATACTCCCAGCCAGGATGTAGGCAGGGTCTACTAAGTATACCCTTATATTTTTCCTGGTACCATATGATACAGTGTTGATTTAATACATATTTGCTCACTGATTGATTAACCGGTTCTTATTTTACTAAAAGGCCCAGCACTCAATAGTAAATATGTTATACCAATAATTTTAGCATTATTTTGGCTTCCTTTTATTTAAAAAAGCATTAAATTATTACTATAATTCTTTACCTAGAAACCTGCATTTTTCAAAGTCAGAATTTCTAGCAAATAATGTTATAGTCCTTTTACTTCAAATTTTTCTATAATGCTGGCAATGAAATTTCCTAAATGAGCTGCTTAGTTTCTGTGAGTCTTGTGACATTTATACATTATATAAAAATATATACTGAGGCAGCCACAAGAAACTCTCCTAGTTAGAAAAGGAACCTAAAAGTTGACTAGCTTCCTGCCCAAGTAACCCCAAATTAATAGGCAGACAAACTCTTCACTGTAATGAACTTTGCAAATAATAGTAAATGTGTTTGAGATTATTATTCTTTAAAAATAAGGGAATTATAGAATTAAAGCCTAGTTAATATTTAAATATAATTTTTTTTTAAATGGCAAAATATACATTATTTTCCTCCCTTAGGATTCAGAGGAACAACCAGATTTTGAATTTTCAGCATATCCCAGGCTTACATCTTACACTATCTATAATATTTGTTTAAAATACAGAATTATAGTATAATTCATTTGTTTTAATTATGAAAATTACTCCCCAAGGAAGGTTACTGTGTGAAGAGTACAAATCATTTTTATATGAGAATACAGAATTTTCCATATGTACTTAATTTTTCTCGATATTAATAATTATTACTATTTTTATTACAATAATTATAGTTGATAAACTATTAACGCTTTAAAGTCTGAATATGTTCCATATTCTATACACAAACATCCAATTTAAAATCAATAAATAAAATTCAAAACTTAGACTAGGTAAGCTATTTGTTATACAGCATGTAACATTATCAAAGTTTAAGAAATAAAACTTTAATGAGTAAAAAAAAAAAATCACCTGATTTATTTCTAACAAATCAAAGACTTTAAAACAAGAAATTAACTTTTGAATCACCACTGTATTCTTCAGCTTAAGGGACAGGACAAAAAAAGGAAATGTTACTGAGAAATAATAATTATTTTAATCAATAAGGCAAAAGATCAAATCATTTGCCCTTGCACCAGGTAAAGTCTCTTTTAAATATCAAGAGGCTTCAAAAGCAACTTTAGGTTGGCACAAACCTATTCTATCACAAAAAGTACTGACTATATTAAACATGCATGCAAGGAGGGCAATAAATTCATGGAAGTTTAAAGGAAAGAACTGATTGATCTCTAACTCTGGGAGGCAATATTTTTTAATATAGATCAGGGCAGAGGTGGATTTACTATGAAGTTAAGGTAGTTTAAACTTTAGTGGCCTTCACTTCCATTGAGTCCCTTTCAAAACCCTGGAAACAAAGCCCTACTAATTTTATATTCATAATTTTTACTCTTTTTCTTAGAGAGCCCTCTCCTTAAACTGCATAAACTACAGGGCCCATAAAATTGAATTCGAGGCCATTTTAGTGGAAAAGTTTTAGATTTAGGAAAATTCTATAGAATGCTAAAGAGAAAGCAAAGGAAAAAAGTCTATAACTTAGGGAAGACAAGAGTGCTGGCAGTTCATTCACTCAATATTCACTAAGTATTAGGCACTTTGTTAGCACTAGAGAGATAAAACCTAATATGGAATACATTCACTATCAATGGATAATGTCATAAAATGGGCAAACATTAGAATCTTTTCTTTTTCAAAGTGATTCAACTAGGGGACTGTTGAAATATACTCCTACCTTACTACACTATTTAGCAGCTGCAGCCTAGAAGGGGTTCCTTAACTACTCTAGGTTTCAGTTTCTCATCTGTAAAACTGGGATAACAATATTAACTGTACTTCAGAGGGCTGTTATAAGACTGAAACAAAATGCATTCAAACTGCTCTATAGAGCATCTAGCTCAGGAGTGTCCAATCTTTTTGCTTCCTAGGCCATATTGGAAGAAAAATTGTCTTGGGCCACACATAAAATACACTAAGACTAACAATAGCTGATGAGTTTAAAAAAAAAATCTCTCTCTCTGTATTTTTTTTTTTAGATGGAGTTTTGCTCTTGTTGCCCAGGCTAGAGTGCAATGGCGTGATCTCGGCTCACCGCAACCTCCACCTCTCTGGTTCAAGCAATTCTGTCTCAGCCTCCCGAGTAGCTGGGATTACAGGCATGCGCCACCACACTTGGCTAATTTTCTATTTTTAGTAGAGACAGGGTTTCTCCATGTTGGTCAGGATGGTCTCGAACTCCCGACCTCAGGTGATCCACCTGCCTCGGCCTCCCAAAGTGCTGGGATTACAGGTGTGAGCCACTGCGCCTGGCAAAAGTCTCATTATGTTTTAAGAAAGTTTATGAGTTTGTGTTGGGTTGCATTCAAAGCCATCCTGGGCCATATGTGACCTGTGGGCCTCGGATTGGACAACCTTGATCTAGCTCATTGTGCTTTGTAAATATTAGCTCCTCTTTTTTGATTTGATGGTAGAATTCAGTGGGATAATAGATACTACCACTTTTTGAAAATTTGTTTTTAACTCTGCCGGAATGCACATTCCAAAAGATACAAGTTGACATTTAATGGCATTTCAAATTTACAAAAGATGTGAACTACTAAAACCAAAATAAAAATTACTTCAGAAAATTTCATCATAGCAGATTAATCCTGACCTTGATTTGTGCATGAACTATGCAGTATGAATTCTACATTCTGTACCTGTCTCTCCTTCCTGACTGCTTTTTCCTTTTAGGTGAAAGCATCTCCAACATTTCTCAACTGTCTAGTATTTTCCAATATGTAACCCACCTGTTAAAAAAATAAATTCCATCTGGTGCATACTTATTTATGAGCGTGTCTGTTTCGATTTCACAGGTTGGTGAATTCCTTTGCCTAGGTAAAATGCTGATGATACTACGGTTGTAGATGTGAACTCTTAATAGGGTACTTTGTTTTTATCTGATATAGAAGTTTAAATACACTTTTGTAAACAAATGACATTATTATAAGGAAGGAAAGGAGTATAGATAAAACATATTATGGTTATTGTAAAAATAATTCAAAAGTAAATGCCTCAGTTAAATCTAAACAGTGAGCTGGTCATATATTTGGGAGAGCATATTTATATTTTAGTATTCTTGAATGGATTCAATTTAAGAAGTGACTCAATAAGAAATATTTTATCAAATTGCTAATGGCTTAAATTCTTAATAGATTGTTAGGGAAAAAAGATTAAGAACTGAAAGATCATATTGTTGCTTTGCTCTTATAAAAGTAAGTGCTAGTAACAGGCTGCAAAAATATGGGTGGATTACCTTTTTTACACAGTGCTCCAGAATTAGAAATTATAGTGCTTTAAGGCACAGCTGCATCAAGTATGGCATTCTTGGCAGAATTGAATAGCTTTGAGAAAAGTAGACTTTAGAGAGCTATCTTCCAAAATCTTAATAACTATCAGCAGGAGCTAAGACCTACGCATATTATTATTTTAAAAATGTTACTGTTAATTGACAAATTGTAATTGTTTATGGTGTACAAAGTAATGCTATATGTATATGGTTTGAATGATTAAATCAAGCTAATTAACATATTCATCGCCTCAAATACCTAACAATTTTTGTGCCAAGAACGTTTGAAAAGTACTCTTAGCAATTTTGAAATGTACAATAGATTATTATCAATTATAGTCACTATGGAATGTAATAGATCTCAAAAAATGATTTCCTCCTGTTTATCTGACTGTACCCTTTGACCAACATCTCCCTATTCCCCTCACTTCTTGGCCTCTGGAAACCTTCATTCTACTCTGTTTCTGAGTTTGATTGTTTTAGATGCCCCATATAAGTGAGATGGATCATGTAGTATTTGTCCTTCGTACCTTGTTTATTTCATGTAACATAATGTCCTCCAGGTTCTTATACGTTGTTACAAATGACAGGCTTTCCTTATTTTTTTAAGGCTGAATACTATTCCATTATGTATACACAGCATATTTTCTTTATCTATTACTCTGCTGATAGACACTTAAGTTGATGCTAAGCTCTATATTAGCATCAGGACTGGGGTTAAACCAATCAGTACAAGATAAATGGAGCCAGGGTGTTTGTCAGAGAAAAACAAGAGGCATTGGAACAATTCAAGCTGCCTCACCTTATATGATCAGAGCTACTTAGAAGATTCATGTGTTCTAATATACAGTGCTTATTCTGGACCAGACACTATTCTAAGTACTTAACTAATTTTAATGAACTAAATCCTCCTAACAGTCCTACGAGGTGGAACTATTATTTGCTCCAATTCAGGCATAATAAAATGAAAACTCAGAGAGGTTTAATGACCCATAACCCAGCTATAATAGCAAAGTGGCAGAGTCAGGTCTTAAATTTGGGCAGTCTGGCTCTGGAGTCTGTAATCTAAACCTCTTTATTATGATGTCTCCTTCTTGCACTGTTGCATCTTTTCACTCCACCTCCACTCTGAAGTTATCAATTTAATAGCGTATGTTGAATTTTTAAAATTAGCTATTTGAGGTAATTGACTAAATAGAGAAAAAACGCTTACAGAGGAAAATAAAAACTTGAAAGAGCCATTGTGATCATTGAATTCTGCATACTCACCGCCACATTTGTCTCTTGCTCAGTTTCTGGCACGTAAGGGTAATGGTTATAAAACATATCATTTCGCACCATCTTTTTCCTCATCCTGCAGGGCCCTTCTGTCATCTCCAGCATCCACTTGTCGAGGTGGGAGCCGATGGGAGGGCCCCACAGCCCCCGCTCCCTCAACAGCTCGCACTCGATCTGACACCACTCTTCTGTCACGTACTTCAGGGCATTCTGCTGACGCTGACAGGAAAGAGTCCAGGTCGGTTTTCAAGCAAAAGCAGGAGTAACAGTAACAAGTCTACAAGTCACTGAAAATCAAGTTATTATTTGGAAACAAACACAATCCACACCATTTCAGTTAACATTATAAAAGTAAAATTACATTTGTTTATGGTTAAAGTAAGAGGTTTTGTTGTAGAAGGTGGACTTCTTAAAGCATCAAGTAAATGACAGACATGGATAGGGTAGAGTGTGCAATATAGTGAAACAGAGAGTTGAAAGAAGTTTGTTTCTCTGGCACAGGAAAGATGGTAATATTACTATGAATTATATTGAAATGGTTAGCCCTATGTGCGTTAATAAATATATATGGTAATTTAAGGATACACCAAACTGTAAAATAGCTACCACAACATGTACGGGGGATATTCTAGGAAGTCAGATGAAGAAAAAGTGCCAACAGGCTTGATTACTGGTGAACTAGGTAAACATTTCCAAAGATTTTAGATGAAGAATATAAACATGCAGCACTAAGAGGAAACTTGATGTTCATACAAAAATCAAAGAGAAACCATTTTCTTCTGGCCACTGGGATAGATCCAAACCATTTTTTAAATGGAAATTATGACACAGTACAAGTTCTTATCTATCAAATGACAAATATATAACATTTCAACAGTAGACAGTGACAAATAACTTGCCCAATGATTCATGGAATATAAGTATATACAATTTAAATCTAAAAATAAAGATTTCTAAAATATAACTGACAGTAAAGATTACTGAGTGAACAATTAAAAAATTATCTATCACAGTAGTACTGATATGTTCTTTGGTTGGGGAAACTAAGGATCTAGTGTTATATCCGTAAAATATTAGCAGTTAACCATTCAGAAACCTTTAATAGATCCAAAATAGCTAATCTGAGAATAAAATATTTAAGATAAGCTTTTGAGTAATTATGAATTTACCAAGAGAATTTCAATAAATTTATTTTTCACTGACATAATCACCAAGCACTTGTAGTATAGTAAAAAATAATTTCATTCAATCTTGTAATTTTTTACAATTTTAAGAGACTTCTCAGAGACTTGGATGCGTATTTTCACAATCTCCTTGTTAAAAGCCTGAAAAAGAAGGCTCATTCTTACATTTTTATTTTTATTAGGAACAAAGACATGTAACATATCAGTAGTGAATGTCAACAGAATTCAGCTGGGCTCATTTTCAGTTAGTTGCTTTTTGAAATGCAGTTTGTTGACAGAAGATTAAAATTTTCCATCCTAAAATCAGTAGCCAAAGTAGCTGATGGCAGGAATAATTAAAACCATCATCTGATGACGAATGCAGTCCAGCAAGTACCTTAAAATGGGCAGAAAGATACCAGGACAAACAGAGACCTTTCACATACAAAAAATGTAAAACAAACCATTATGATGATTATAAGTCCTTACCTCCTGATATTCTTTATATTGTGTATCTACTAAGTCACGAACAACAGCAATGTGAGTAAACATCCACTGCGAAATCTCCTAACAATGGATGGAAAAAGAGTCTTAATATTTCATGGATTTCTGGAAAAAAATAGTTAATTACCCTTGAAATTAATGCTAAATAATTGGTTAAAATTCTGCCAAAAGCACCAAAACAGAAAACTAAAACAAAAAATTCAGAATGAATTATATGCTTGTGTGATGGACACAGATCTGCATGCTCTCCCACCCCCAAAGCCCCTTCAAGGAAGGGCTTGCTGCCCACGTGTCTGGGCTGCTCTCAACACCCTCAGGGATGGCCTTAGCTGCAGAGGGCCGACGGGGTGCCCCACATCCAACGATCTAGGGGTAAGAAGACTCACACATTTCAGCTTAATGGAGGTCAATTATAAGAGGGTATTCTGTCCTCAAAGCTCCACTTAGCTTGGCTGAGGCTGTCACTAGACCAGCACTGCAGCCTGACTTTTCCCTATGTCCAATCCTGCTTTCTTCTCCCTTCCACAGGTATTGATCCCAAGGGCACCCCCTAATATACATTATGCACACTAAACTCCATCTCAGAGTTTGCTTCCTAGAAAACCTAACCTGATGCATGAGATGGCTGACACATACTATTTCTCTCAGATCCTTTTCATAGCTGCCACTTAGATTCTGGGATGGTGAAGGAAGTAGGATGAGGAAGAAGTTAATGCTGGAGGCAGATGAGCTTTTAAAAAACCATAGGTATACACAACAAGATTGTAAAAATTAAAAAAGGCTTGTTTGGCTATTGCCTTAAAATTTATATAATTATTAGTAATAACATTATTGAAAGCTGGGAAAATTGAGAGAAAATTATCTATAGTCTGATCATACATTAATCTCTAAATCTCATCTTATATCCAGTTATAAAATGGGTATAAGTAAATAGCACTCATATATAGTTTTATCATAAGAAAATGAGAGAAATTCCCATAGTCTGGATTACTTCTATCTCTATTCTAAAGCAAAAATACAGAAAAGTTTCATTTCCAATCAATTGCTTGTACATGTTAAGTATATTATACAAAATACTACAACTAATATCAGCAATGAAACTAAAAAAGTACCTGGGTGGAAAGACTGTGTTTATTAAGACCACTTTCTTTTCGATTCCTTCTTGATCCTGTTAACTTGGAAAGACCAAAGCCACTGCTGACACGGGATAATTTGGACTGTGTGGTGGGCGCTAAAGCTTCTCCTCGACTTATGCATTTCTTTTCATGGGCTATTAAAAAATCAAATTAGATTATTTTATAATTTCTCCATGTATTTATGAGTCTTACTTTAAAAACTTATCTGGTTATAAACTACAACCCTGTAGTTAACAAAAGTAGCACATATTACAGATGCAGATATTACATTCAGATATCACAAATTTATTTATTGGTAATCTTAAGGATGACTGCTCGCAAATTGTATTAGCTGAACTGATAGTTGGTTGAAAGTTCACAGCTCTGTAATAACATGCAAATTTAACTATAACGAGTTTCTATATTAATAATTCATAATCACCTAATTAAAACCTTTGGTGTTGGGTATACTTCGCAACTTAGAAACTATTTGGATTTTTAAAAGGCTATACAGCTTATACACTAGATTATATAATGCCACCAGAGAATCTATGGTAATAAGCTATAATTTAATACGTCAATATTACTGCAACAAAATGTATGAATATTCCCATACCAAGTAGGACAAAGAAAGATAAATTAGGTTCTGTTATAAAGTCAGTTTTGGCACCAAATTAATGAAAAAACAGAGCTTTTTGAATTTCAAAATTATAGTTAAGGGATTGTGGACCTGTAGCCAAGACAGTGACAATACTAGAGCTGTTAGCAATGCATTACATTCTGAATGCATAAACGCCTGATGTATAACATACCTCAGATGCTAAAAAAAAAAAAAAAAAAATCAAAGAGAACTAAGATCTCAGTATAATCATTCTAGAATGGTTGTTATATTGATTTTAAGGATGACTTTATAGAATCCTTTTGTGAATGCTGTAGTCACATATTTAAAGTATACCCATATATGATAGCCACATGTAAATCTCCTGGTGGTATGATCTCTGTAGGCCTTACCCAAATGATTCTGCCAGCACTTCAGGGCAGCTTCTTCAATGAGTGGCCTTGCTGTAGCTATGTCCACGTGGCCCCTTTCATTCACAGGTAGAGTTACTTTGAAAAGTTCCTCTAAGACTTGTTTCTTACTATGTATCAGTTCAGTCCAAACTCTGTTGACAGCTTTTATGAGAAGCTGACGCCCTAGTAAACAAACAAACAAACAAACAAAAAAGTAAGCAAATGATCAAAACACAGTATAAAGTTAGTTTTTATTTTTCTTCATGTTTACATGTGGGAATTTCGACTACAGTATTTAATGTAAAAAAAACAAAGCTCATGTTGTATCTAGCCCAGTGAAAAGGTTATTTAGACAACTGAAACTGTGGTTGCCTATTTAGAAAACATTAAAAAAACTTTATATTCATACAAAAGAACATTTTTATTTATAAAATTGGAAATTATATATATGTAATTAACTAACTTTTTCTAGATTAAAAACTTATCCCCCATTTAAAAGTAATTTTTAAATCTGAATGTTTAAGGTGAGTTCAAAACTAAGTTAGTATTCTTGAATATTTTGCACAAGAAAAGAAATATTTTGAAAAGACTTTTACTATGAAATTCATTCTTGCTTTGGATTCCTTGTTTGTATGCCTGACTCCTCCTCCAGACCAGTCGGCCCTCAGCAATCACCTGAGGGCCTGTGATAACAAGCTGCTAGTCCCTCACCTCAGGGTTTCTGATTCAGTAGGTCAGAGTAGGGCAACAGAATCTGCTTTTCTACCAAGTTCCCAAATGATATTGATGTTGCTATTCTGAGGACCTTGCTATGAGAACCAACGCCACTTCCTCAGGGGGTGAAAATAATAACCGCATCTTTGGTGTTTAGGGTTCAAAACATTTTGGTGAAAGAACAGAGAATAAATTCATGTTTAAATGAAGGAATGAAATTAAAATGAGTGCTGGGCTTCTCAACAATGAAACCATATGTAAAACTATCGCACAGTATTTCTGGGGAGACAAACACCACCAGAGTGATTTCTCTTTATCACTAAACATGTGGAAATAAGAAATCAATCCATACAAAGACTTCAATATGCAATCCTTACAGGATTAGTGGGAAAACCAGATTGAAAAAAAAAAGAGAGGGGCTGGGCATGGTAGCTCACAGCTGTAATCCCAGCACTTTGGGAGGCCAAGGCCGGTGGATCACTTCAGGTCAGGAGGTTGAGACCAGTCTGGCCAACACGGTGAAATCCTGTCTCTACTAAAAATACAAAAAAAAATTAAGCCAGGCGTGGTGATGTGCACCTGTAGTCCCAGCTATTTAGGAGGCTGAGACATGAGAATCACTTGAACCCGAAAGGTAAAGGTTGTAGTGAGCTGAAATAGTGCCACTGCACTCCACTGTGGGCAACTGAGCAAGATTTTGTTTAAAAAAAAAAAAAAAAAGAGAGAGAGTATAAAGAAGAATAAAAAATAGCACTATTGATAACCTGTCTCAAGCAATATTAGCCTACTCTAATGTGATATGCCTGGCATTATCATTGGGCAGTTCTCTTTATAGTTAATTCCAAGGTAGTATTTGTACTTCTACTTAAGCAAATGTAAATATTAATACCACCACCAAATCTCACAGTGTTACTAAGAAATGATGAGCTTAGCAATATTACTGGTTAGTGCTTTACTGTTATTGGCATGAGGAGACTCTTTATGTATAGGTTGCCCTACTGGGAGAGTTGCTATCAATGCTGGCAGTTTCTGAAGCCAATTTGTTGGTTATGTCTTAAAAACTGGAGATAAAACAACCACAATTTAAAAACATCCCAAGTCAAGGCAATTACCTTCACTAATATCTTGGCTGTAACTACCATCTGGTTCAATGTCCGAGGGGATCATAATGTGCCATGTGGTCATGCGGGCTTCTGCTTCCAGTCCAAATCCATCCACGTTGCTGAAAAATTCCAGTCAGTTTAAACTTTATGAAGGAAATGATTAGCTGAAGACTACAGTAACTAAGAATTACTCTATTTCCATTACCAGCAGACACTGAATGTCTACTCAGCAGATGCACAGAACAGAATTCTAGTTTGCCAGGAAGATGCCATTTTTAAGAGGTGATCAAATAAATCCACCTGACTAAATGTAATTAGACTGATCTATAGCATCAAGATTATTACCTTAATATTTAACATGCCTTTTGATTATTGTGAACATTTTTACCTAATAATTACAAAATGTTCATTCAACTAAGAACATTTTTCTAATATGCCTGTGTCCTCTCTCCAGTCTTATATCTCACTACTCTGCTCCTGTAGTGAAGTAGTTGCAGTTCCCCTGAGGTGCCACACTCCTTCTTCCCTCTGGGCATTCATACAGACTGTTCTTTCCTCCAGTAGCAGTTGTCTCCATTCTCTTGTCCTCCCCAACCAGGTCTCAAGCTGCAGCTCAGCAGGTATTTCTTTCAGGTTAGGGGCCCCTCTTATGTGCCTCCAAAGCACTGGGTTGTTCCTAGCAGATCACTCAATACAGCTGACTGGTCTTGCTTAGCTGTTTCCCCTCAAGAAGGCTGCCACAGGGTCTATCATACTCACATTTTGTCCCAGCCCCTAATTCAATGCTTGGCCCCGGCAGACTCTAATGAAATATCTGTCAAAGCAATCAACTGAAAAATACTAATTTTACTCATTTAACATATAACACTGCATTGAGCTTCACTTTTTACTTCTCTTAGATTTCAATGGTATATATTTTATTTGCTTTAAAAGCAAACTTCCTTATATAAGTGACATATGGTGATAATGGAAAATTTTAAAGGTGTAGAAAACTAAGTTAAAGGAAAAAAAAATACCCATTATTTCACTGCAAAAATTCAACACTTGCCCTTTACCTTTTTACATAAAGGTTTAAATAAAACAGAGTAAGGGTAAAAGAAATGTTACTATCAAAAAAAATAAAGAATTTTGTTGGAATAACATCAAAGCCAAATTTAACATGGCAAACTGAACCTAAAGGATTTACCTTCCAACATGTAGATTTATCAAGCAGTGGGCCAGACAGCTAATGAATTCTTGGTCATGGTTCCCAGGTCCCAGGATCAAGTTTCTGTTTACAGTGAGGACCCTGAGTGAATCAAGCAGAGCTACTTGCTGAGGAACGGTTTTGTGTGCCCGTGAGAACTGGTACAAGATGGTCCTATTGAGGCAATGATACACTGCATCCAGTGACAATCCCTGTGATCTTCTCTTTGACTAAAGACATGAAAGGTATGTTTTTAGTATAATAGACAAAAGTAAAACACCTGTTAATCATTCATACATGAACTTTTATTAGGTCTATTATATACCAGATGCCATGCTAAGTATGCAGGTGCTAAGTTAAAAGATACAAAGCTCTTACTATTATGGATTTCAGAACCCATGAGACACATCAATATCATCTAATGAATGATATGAGGGCTACATAAAAAAAAAGAGCTCCCAGGGAGGAGAGCCACTAACGATGCTGTGGGGCAGAGCAGTCTCCCTGAGAACACGAGGATGTGACAGCTAGGGGAGTCTCCTCACAAATATATTTTGTTAGGATAAATGATCTATATTCAAAAGTACTGAAAAAAATTAAGATGTTACTAAAATCATTTTTTTTTGACATTCTAATTTCATCCCCTCATTTGAGAATTTTTCTCTTTGGCTTAAATACAAATATATCCCTTTGAAAAGTCTTAGGTGACATGACAGAGCCTATGTATCTGTGTAGCATATGCTAACAAAACATGTAACAATTATTTCTTACTTTCTACATTAAGTATTAAATAAGATTAATCAATTGTGCCAAACCAGGCCAAACCCTTAATTAAAAGTACTGTGAACATGCACAAAAAATAACAACTTCAAGAGAATATAAACTACAAGGAACTTTGTAAAGATTCAACTGATAAGAGAATATTCTTTTAATATCAACTCTTCATGCTGTGTAAGCCTTTACACATGGATGTAGTATACAGTACAAACCTACCAAACTGTATTACTGTATTAAGGTATTTAAATCTATCTGGGTAGCAAAGAATAATACCTAGGCAACTTTACAAAGGACACATTGGCACCAGGCAATTGGTAATAGGGGAGGGGTTCAAAGTCTGTATCTCTATTCAGTTTTTTTTTTTTTTTTGAGACGGAGTCTTGCTCTGTCACCCAGGCTGGAGTGCAGTACTGTGATCTTGGCTCACTGCAACCTCCACCTCCCAGGTTCAAATGATTCTCCTGCCTCCACCTCCCAAGTAGCTGGAATTACAGGCGCGCACCAACATGCCTGGCTAATTTTTGTATTTTCAGCAGAGACAGGGTCTCACCATGTCGGTCAGGCTGGTCTCCAACTTCTGACCTCAAGTGATCCACCTGCCTTGGCCTCCCAAAGTGCTGATACTACAGGTGTGAGTCACTGCGCCCAGCCTGTCTCTATTCACTTTTAATAAGCTTAGCTTTTTCTTAAATGTTAACATTCATTATCTTATTAGTTATATTTAATTTCAACAATTTTGACACCATAGGCAAAACAGGAAAACATGTACTCTACAACTGATAGTGACAATGGATTACCTGTGCAATTAGTTGAATTATAAAATCTATAAGAAGTTTAGATTCTTTGTTGAACATGCCTTGCCAAAGCTTGTCCACCACACGCTGTGTGAAATAAAACACATTGTTCACCAATACCTGGTAGCTTCCTCCACTGGTAATAGGCAGAGATGCATCTTCCCCTAAATTCCAGTAGGAAAAAAAGTCTAAGAAAATTGATATCTACCAACACAGGACCAGATCCTCAAAAAAAAAATCAGGCTAAGGTAAAATAAGTGTATCTACAACAGGTAGCAATATGACTACTAGCTTTTATGCACTACTTGAAGAAAATGACATTCAATGGCCAGAAATCAGGATAAATAATTTCAGCAGGATAAAGCGTTATGGATTGAAACTACCTGTGGAGTCTCCTATTGCCTAAAGAGAGTCTGTGATAAACAAGCAGTTCCTCAACATAAACTGTCAGTCACAGCTGTTCTCCATTTGAGAGAAAACGGGCCAGTTTATTAGCTCTTAATTGATTTTGTGTATGTAATAAAGGGTAAAACTGTGAAACAAAACTCTGTTTTAGTGTATAGCTCTAATAGCAGTGAAGTAACACAGACAGAAGAGAGCTTCAAGAAAACTGTGAAAAATAAAGTATAATCATTGTTGAGGGGTGTGTTTAGCCCCTCCATCATTACCATCAGCTCTCTCTCTTTCTAAAGCTATCCGAGTGTTTTCAGTGTGTTTGCCATATACATATTGCTTTCAGACTAATCCTCCTAGCTCCTCCTCCTAACCAGAATGCTTCCTCTAAGCCAGGGGTCCCCAACTCCCAGGCCATGGAACGGACCACACAGCAAGAGGTGTGAGGTGGGTGTGCAAGCATTACCACCTGAGCTCCTTCTGTCATATCAGCAGCGGCATTAGATTCTCATTGGAGTGCAAGCCCTATTATGAACCGTGCATGCAAGGGATCCAGGGTTGCACAGTCCTTCCGAGAATCAAATGATAAATGTAATGCTTGCATCATCGCAAAACCGTAATCCCCCCTTAGTCTGTGGAAAAACTGTCCTCCATGAAACTGGTCCCCAGTGCCAAAAAGGTTGGGGACCACTGCTTTAAGCCCTTCCTCCACAGAAATTCTGGAGGTGCCACAGAATTTGATTTTTATTATTCTCACCTAATGCTAAATTGCCCCATTAAGCAAAATTATTTGTGTTGTGTCTTTGTGTAGTATGACTGCTCTAAACTGGTAAGAATAAGTACAAAAGTGTGAATTGACTTGAGAGTGCACAGTTGCATGTTGAGACAATACTAAAGATTTCCTGGCAAATTTACTTCGGGAAAAAAATTGTAATTTAATAGCACAGAGGTTATATGATTAGCACTATTGCTAGGAACTCAAAAGTAGCACATATAGTATACTAACCCATTATGTTTCCTTCTTTTATAATTCTACTTTGTTTTATACACAAATGTTGGCTTCACTGTAAATGTATTAAGTTTTATATTTGTATTGTAATTAGATACAGACATACAGAAAAAACACATTTCAATGTGTTTTGACTCTATGTCCTGGAAGCCATACTAAAAAGATAACATACATATACCTATGACCTAACAATTCCACTCATAGGTATATACTCAACAGATTATGTGTAAGTATTGTACACCTATGTGGTCCATATGAACAAGAATGTTCATAGCAGCTGTTAAAATAATTATCTCAAGCTGAAAACTTTCATATATCTGTCAAGAGTAAAATGACAAATTCATATATTCACATGATGAAATACTATAATGTACTCCTGCTACATGCAACAAGATAGACAAATCTCACAAATATAATGTTGAGTATGAGAAGCTAGACAAAAAAGGAAAGAAAAAAGCTGATGTTAAAAAGTAGTTTTACTTGGGGCTTAGAGAGGAAAGTGATTATAGGTATTTCTATAAAATAAAAACACAGAATTACCTAATAACACATCAGCTGCAAGCAAATGGTCCATCACGCTATCCAAAATGTAAGTTTGAAATTCTTTTTGCTGAGTTCTTGTAGACCTTTCAGGGGAAGCCTAATCAAGAAAATTTAGAATTAGAAACAGAACCAACTAAAACAAAAATATGAGCTCAACCACATTTACATTACCTAATATATTAAAAAGATTAAAAAATTCTACTAATAAATTTGTTTTAAATGCCATGAGAGATGGTATACATGCTATGCTTATGGTCTTTCACGTATTTTCTGACTACAGAATTAAAAAAAATTTAAAGCAAAGGTGAAACATCATCTTCTTTTGAATCCATTATTTAAAACATAGTATTCTAAACATTATATTTATTATATTGTTATAGTTTATATTATATAATATATAGTATATATAATATATAAAACTATATATAATATTGTTATATAAAAACTGTTATAACAGTTTATAACAATATAAACTACAATAATATAATAAATACTTGACTATTATCACACCTCACTTCCAAAAGAGATATGGTGGTTTACAATGAAATACAGGTAAAATAAATAACAAATGAATTATAAAGCCATTAAAACTAATACAAAAACCCAAGAATCTAGTAATCAAGAGGGCATGTCAATAGGGAGGGGAAATACATTTGTAACAAAAAACTAAGCACACAATTTAGCTCTGAGCTTCATAGATGTCAAGAAAAAAATGGTTTACAAAGCTTTTTATTGTCTATAAAAAGAAACACATAGCGTCAAGTGCCTACAGTCCCAGCCACTAGGGAGGCTGGGGTGGGAGGATCACATGATTTTGAGTCAAGCCTGTGCAATACAGCAAGAACCTTTTATTAAAAAAAGTAAGAAGGGGCCGGGCGCGGTGGCTCACGCCTGTAATCCCAGCACTTTGGGAGGCCGAGGCGGGCGGATCACGAGGTCAGGAGATCGAGGCCATCCCGGCTAAAACGGTGAAACCCCGTCTCTACTAAAAATACAAAAAATTAGCCGGGCGTAGTGGCGGGCGCCTGTAGTCCCAGCTACTTGGGAGGCTGAGGCAGGAGAATGGCGTGAACCCGGGAGGCGGAGCTTGCAGTGAGCCGAGATCCCGCCACTGCACTCCAGCCTGGGCGACAGAGCGAGACTCCGTCTCAAAAAAAAAAAAAAAAAAAAAAAAAAAAGTAAGAAGGAAAGAAAAACACAATAGATTGTCAGCAAAGACATATGTTTTCCTAAAATTGTTCTGACAGGAATGTTCTCTGTGGGTTTTTGTAAGGAGGACGGTGAACAACCCTATATAGGTGGTATCTTTGTTAAGTTTTACAATGTACAAAGATGATTTTGAAAATTATCTTATGTTAAAGTGTAGAGCACAAAGTTAAACTGTAGTCTACTGACAACAATTCTACTTGTAATTAGGGTATGAAAATCCAGGTGCATAACTTTCCAGTATCTGATCCAGTGAGTAGCAAGGAACTGGGAACAGAGGGATGAGATGTAGGAAAGAGCCTTTTGTCATCCTCAAATGCCAGTAGTTTCAGCCAGGTTTTTGATAGGAGTTGGATATTAAACAATTCAATAAATGTCATAACTTCCTTTCTTAAAAAGAGATCTGTATGTTTTAGATTCAGGCACAGTATTGAGGTTTTGCAAGTGAAATGGAAGAACCTACTTATTCTTGAATAGAGAGATCCAGGACTGTATTTATGACCCTGTTACAAAGATGGGCTTTTGGAATGCTGTTCTATTTTCCCTTCTATTCTGATTTTCAAGGTGGTCCTATTAAATGTTTTAAGAAAGTAGCTAGAATAAAAGTTCTACATTGAGAACAAGAATACTAGCTTAAGTTCTCAAAAGCCAACAGCTAAACCAAAATTGTAAGGAAAATTGCTCTTTCTTCTGCATGAGACTATTCATTTTGTTTTAAAATGACAAAATATGGGTCTAGTAAGAATTAAAAGAATACCAGTGCTTAGGAGTTTGGTTTGTCATTAAACTAATTTGGGAAAAAGTGAAGAACATCTCATGTTTTTATCTTTATAAATTTTCCTGTGTATTTGAACAGATTAATACAATAGCGAGCAGGAGACTTGTGACCAAGGCCTGTCTAGTCCTTTCAAGCCGATACTACATTGGGAGTCTTATCCCTATAAACTGAAGAGGATGTGAGGACTTTTAAGTGATTAACAGCAGACTGATAGTTCCAGGAGGCTTTCCTTATATCAGAGACCATTTTTTCCAATAGCTTGAGTCATCATAATTTGCTAAGGAATAAAGCTGTCCAGTCACAGAAGGACATAAACATTTTGAAAAAAATGGTACTCCTGGTTGGGCACGGTGGCTCATGCCTATAATCCCAGTATTTTGGGAGGCTAAGGCAGGTGGATTACTTGAACGCAGGAGTTCAAGACCAGCCTGGGGAACATGGCAAAACCCTGTCTCTACCAAAAAAAAAAAAAAAAAAAAAAAATCTCTGGCATGGTGGTGTGTGCCGGTAGTCATAGCTACTTGGGAGGCTGAGTTGGGAGGATTGATTGACCTCAGCAGGTCAAGGATGCAATGAGCCATGACTGTGCCACTGCATTCCAGACTATGCAACAGACCAAGATCCTGTCTTAAAAAAAGAAAGCTACTCTTTCAGGTTCATAATCAACTCAAGGTGGTTAATGAGATTAGTAATGAGTAGGGCTTATCAAATCTTAACTAGAAAAAGTTTTGAAGTCTGTAAAACAAAGGGACTATTAAACGTACAGAAATGCTTGGTGAATAACATTTATTTTTATTAAAATAATATTCTTTCTTATTCCAGAAGGATTTAACACTGGCTCAGTCATCAACAGGCATTTAATCTTCTGATTCATCTCAATAAAACTGTTACACGAATGATGAGGACCCAGAATTTACACTTGTTACTGGTCCTAGTGGCCTAGTTTGATGTTCTTACTGAGATGTATAGCAGTCTAACTTTTCAAGGACTTAACATTTTATGAAAGCATGCATTATTGTCTCGGAGGTGTTCTTTTTCTTTTTAAACAATTCACTGGACTACTGTTTTGTGCCAGACACAGGGCTTATATATATACATTATCTCATATAGTCAGGAAAATACCCTTGAAATAGATACTAACATCCCCATTTTAGAAATAATTGAGGCTTAGAGAGAGTAAGTCACTTGGTCAAGTCACAACTAGGATTCAAATCTCAGTTTCTGTGAAGCCAAAGCCCATGGCTTCACCAGTTATGTCATACTCTCCCCACTCTACTAAAATCTCCTTATGAAAGTTAAAAGCACAAGAGCAAATCTGCAAAGTGTGGGCTACAATCTCTTCATCACTCTTTTAGATAAGACTGGTTGGCCCACCAGACAACCAGAATGAAGGCAGGACAGGCACGGTGATCTGCTCTGGACTCTGGTGGTCAGATCTGTTTTCCTGGTGAAAACAGCAAAGCCAGTCAACATATCCATCAGTCTCCTTTTTAAGGTCTTGGGGACACTACCCAGGATCTTTGTGTCCCACACACAGGCCAGACAGCCCTTACGCATCTGCTGCCCATGGGTAGACAGCACAGTGGCTATGGAAGGAAGGCCTTTGGAATTCTGTCCTGTTTCTGTAATGGGCTGGAAGCCTTTAAAGATAGGATTTTGAGACTCCTGATTCTGACTGTAGTCTGCCTGTTGACTGATTTTTCCTCTCTGAGTTACTTTGTGGTGCTCTCTTTGCCCAATTTGCCATTGTTTTTTGCTTGTTTCCCTGTAGTTCCTCAGGGTGGGTTTCACTCTGATGTATGACAATGGGGAGCTCTTGTAGAAGATGGTTGGCATAGAGTCCAGTGAACTCCTCAGACCATAGCAATGTGCTTATGTTGGCTGTATCCCCTACCAAATCTCATCTTGAATTGTAGCTCCCATAATCCCCACAAGTCATGAGAGGGACACAGTGGAAGGTAATTAAATCATGGGGGTGGTTACTCTCATGCTGTTCTTGTGATAGTGAGTGAGTTCTCATGAGATCTGATGGTTTTATAAGGGGGTTTTCCCCTACTTCATTCTGCACTTGTCCTTGCTGCCACCATGTGAAGATGGATGTGTTTGCTTCCCCTTCTGCCATGACTGTAAGTTTCCTGAGGCATCCCCAGCCATGCTGAATTATGAGTCAATTAAACCTCTTTCCTTTATAAATTTTTATTTTTATAAATTTATAAAATTTATATAAAGGAAAATTTTTATAAATTTTCCTTTATGAAGACATACCCAGTCTCGGGTATGTCTTTATTAGTAGTGTGAGCTTGGACTAACACGCACTCCAAGTCAGCACCCTCTCAGTTTCATTATCTTTACCTCCAGGTATACACAAATCTGTTTGAGCTGTTCTCATGCACTTTCTTCCCATTGCCACGGTATTTATTTGCAGCAAATTCATTTGGCTCTTCATGAGAAGTCTGGTGGTGACAGCACAGGGCACTGATAAACAGGAGCTAGGAGAAGAGTCTCCAGGCACCCTTGTAGAAGCCAACACAGGCCACGTAGTCAATTTTTTGAGTATGTTTAAGTGTTGGGCACTGTGTTATGAATATTAAATCTTATTTAGTTTTCACAATAATTCTCAGAGAGAGGTTCACTTTTATATCATTTTACAGATGTGTAAATTGTATAGATGTGAAGAGAATTGAACTTGGTCAAGGCCACACAGCTATATCCAGCACACATGTAATTCCTCAGAATACTTTTTGTTGGGTGATGTACATATATTTAATCCTCACAATAATCTTGTAAGAGAGATGGTAAATAATATCATTCTCTAGAGAATGAATTTAGCTTGGGAAGATGAAAATGCTTATATAATAAACAACAGGGCCAGAATTTAAACCCAGGCACTTCTTACTCTCAAACCCATGCTCTAGCTTTCTGCCACACCACACTACTTCCCTTGTATTTGGCCTCAGTCACACTAAAGCCAGTCTATATGAATGGGAATCTCCTACTTTTATGCTAATGAATTTTACTGCTAATGAAGATAATTTTACATGTTCTTTTGTAGGTATAATCAAGTAAGTAGATACTTTTATGATGAAATTCTAACACTCATAGGACTGAAGATGCTCTGGTTCACATTTACTGGACTCAGATGTTCAAGCCCCTTCCTTCACAAAGGTAAATGGTAAATATGTAAGATAATTCTCTCTCTCTTTTTTTTTTTTTGAGACAGGGTCTCACTCTGACACCCAGGCTGGAATGCATTGGAATGCAGTGGTGTAATTACGGCTCACTGCAACTTTGAACACCTGGGCTCAAGCGATCCTTCCACCTTAGCCTCCAGTAGGTAGGATACAGGCACGCACCACAACACTGGCTATGGCTAATTTTTTTGTAAAGATGGGATTTCACCTGTTGCCCGGGTTGGTCTTGAACTCCTAACTTTAAGCAATCCTTCTGCCTTGACCTCCCAAAGAAAGTGTTGGGATTACAGGCATGAGCCACCATGCTCAACCTAATTTTCTTCTTGAATCTCTTCATGGATAAAGACTTCATAATCATAATTTTCAAAATCATATGTTTATAATTTATTCTGTTACACCATTGGAAGACATAGAATGTTAATATTTCATTAATATAATTTTTTTTGTATATGTATTCTGCATATGTATATTAAAGATACTCAAAATATTTAAAAGTAAATTTCTATGTTCTTTATTAGATAGTATCCTATCTTCCTGTTTGGGAATTTCCAGGGATGAAGTTAATAGTTAAATGATTCAAAAATACACTAAGCCTTACTTAATGTCATTGACAGGCTCCTGGCAACTGCAACTTTAAGTGAAACAATGTACAGCAGGTCCTCAAATAACATCATTTCCTTCAACCTAGTTTTATTATAAGGTTGACGAGGAAAAAAATTTAGTTTTGTTACACATCATTTTGCTTAAAGTTGCAGCTACCAAGAACTTATCAATGACGTTAAGTGAGGACTTACTGTACTGACAGAATACACCAAGGCACTGTGCTAAAAGTTGTGAGAGATGAAGGAACACATGAAAGTTGTTCTCTAAGCAGTTTATAATCTATCTGGAAGCTTCAATCCTGACACCCCCTGCTTTTCCCTGAACTGTACTCCTACTCGCTAGTATATTGAAGCACTATTCTACCGTAGGGCAAATTCATGCCCACAACAAAGAGAACCTTACTTCAAGGTTAATACATGTTATTATATATCAAATTCTTCCTACTAAAAAATATAGAAAACAAAAATAAAGGGCAATTATACAATTTAAATATGGGTAATTAATTAGCTATTCAGGTACCAGAAGCTTGAAAATGCTATCACTGTATGTTTCCAGTCATTCCATATCTTTCATGTATGTATTTTCCTTTTTTGATCAGTTATGCTTTCTTGCACACATCTCTTCTGGACTTTATCCTATTATTTTCCAATAAACTATTTCACTTTTTCATAAAATGCTTCAAATTTTTACCCTATACAGTAAGATACTGGTCATCTCTCTTAGAGCTTTTTAAAGTTTCCAAAGGGGAGACGTTCCATTGGGCCTGCTTTTTAATTCTACCACATGCATTAGTGAGGAAACCAATTATTCTCCTGCCATTATTAAACACTGTCATCCTGGTTAAATGCTTAGCATAACTGGTACCCTAATTACATTAGTGATTTTAAAAAAAATTGACCAAATTGAGATACTTTCGCATGAATAAGATAAACATGTGGTTTTCAGGTTTCTATTTATAAGTTAACTGTACTAGCCACTAGAGGGAGCACAAAAAAAAAAAATCTCAGGTTCAGCTGTCAAACTGCTGAGAGACAGTGCAGTTCCTCAGGGAGAAAAGCAGTCTTCTCCACAGATTTACTCTTTCATAAAACATGTTATTTTCAGAGCCCCTGGCATGGACTGTTTGACCTTATTTATATGAATTGGTCAAAAGAACATTAATGTATATGCAACTAATTACATTGTATTAAATTTTCTCTCTGTGATATCTTCAGACTTTTCTAGGTAAACATTTTTTAATGCTTTTCTGGGATAGCTAATTTCTAGAGGCAGCAATGAGGTCACTTAAAGGCTTAGAGCCACTCTCATTTTCTGATGCATCAGTTGATTCATATCAATTGTCAGGAGAATGGGCAGGCAGCCAACCTAGAAGTTTGCTGCCTTGGGGAATTTAACAAGTACATCCTGGGCACCTGTTCTGTACAATGCACCATGTCTTAAGTTGCACAGGACACTGACAACAGTAATACCTGGCAATGACAGGTAAGAGAAATTGATGTAGGAAATTATAAGGTAAGAAGACAATGCCACTAGGCACTGTTAATGTCCAGGGAAGGGGTTGGCACACTATGGCCTGTGGGCCAAATCCAGCCTGTGCTGTTTCTGTAGATAAAGTTTTATCAGAACACTGCCATGCTCATTCTCTTACGTATTGTCCATGGCTGCTTTCTAGCTACAACATACTTGAACAGATGTGACAGAGACCGTATGGCCCACAAGCTTAAAATATTTACTATTTGGCTTTTTACAGAAGAAGTTCGCCAGCTCTTAGAGAAAGGATGATAAAGGACTGAATTAGAGACATCCTTGAGGGAAGGAAAAGAACAAACTGATAGGGTTTAAAGCACATGTGGGATTAAGAACTTTCCACAGCCTATAACATGTTCTGCCTACACATAAACAAGAGGAATTAGAAATCCTTGTTATAGAACTTGTTTGGTTACTAATGTTCTAATTTAAAAAGTAATGCAAAAGAGATGTAAATGCGTTTCTTTTTCTTTACCTCCAACAAAAGATCAATTAGTGGAGTTTGCTTGCTGGCAGGAGTGAGACAGAGGTTGTCTATGATTAAGACCCGCATGAAGTCAAAAACGAACTTTTTAGCCGGGTGATTGGTCAGATATGTCTTGGTGCCCACATTGCAGTACTCTGATTGGCTCCTGTTCATCCCTGTGTCTGCTGCAAACGCTTTAAACTCTTCTGCTGGAGATCCAACTTCATCATCAAGGTCAGTCACCTAGTAAAATCAAGTGGAAAGATACGGTAATCACATTAGACTCTGACATTTTTACTTCTGTGTTTCCTAAAAATAAAACTGGAGCAGCAGCATTTTCCACCTATTAAGCTATTCAGCACATTATTTCACTCTGCTTTACTCGACCCTTCCTTTCAAGGTAGTAATCTGGCACCATATGTCATGGTTACGCAACATATGGTGTTTCTGACTGACCACTAACAATACGTCACCTTTAAGTTGAATTGTATGTCTATTGTGGCTAACTGCACTTAAAATATATGGAATAATAAAATTAGAATAAATATGTTTCCATATTTGAACTCTACCCCTACTGTGAAGTCAAATGTCACAGAATTTCACATAAAAATCTGGCATAATGGTAGCATGTAAGGGGTGATCCATTTATTATAGGTTAAAAAAACCCCAAATAAATTTAAAAAAAAAACAACAATATTGGTGCCAATTTTGAACCAAGTGACAGAGCGAGACTAGCAAACAAATTATAAGATGCTGATGGCCAGGCACAGTGGCTCACGCCTGTAATCCCAGCACTTTGGGAGGCCGACATAGGCAGATCACCTGAGATCAGGAGTTCGAGACTAGCCTGGCCAACATGGCGAAACCCCATCTCTATTAAAAATACAAAAAAATTGGCCAGGCGTAGTGGTCCATGCCTGTAATCTCAGCTACTCAGGAGGGTGAGGCAGTAGAATCACAGGAGAATCGCTTGAACTTGGGACGTGGAGGTTGCAGTGAGCCGAGATCGTGCCACCATTGCACTCCAGCCGGGATGACAAGAGCGAAACCCCGTCTCAAAAAAAAAAAAAAAGATGCTGACAAGGAAAAGATATTGATATATTATTGAAGGTCTTTTTTTTTTAAACCAAAAATAAGGATTCTAAAATTATAAACAAGCCAAGGTATTAAGGTCATGTGTCACATTTGCCTTTCTCCTAAAAATCCCCACCATTTTAGAATAAGTATTGTACCTTTATACATGGAGAAAAATTAGTATAAAGAAGGTCATTTATCCCAGGTCCTAGAGTATATGGTGGAAATATGAAGAAACATCATGAAATTTTGAAGTACTATGGAGGAATAACTATCTTTTGGGTGTGTTTTATCTATTTATTTTTAAACCTGTTTTATGTTTACAGTTTATTAGCTAATCAACATCAACGTGCAAAAGTAAGTGATAAGCCCCTGCTATATGGTTTTGTGTAAACTACAGTAGTTCATTCGTTTTGAAAAGTCACCAATATTTATGTCAACTGAACTATTAGTTACTGTAATGAATAGTATTTAGACTCTAAAGTTATGAAACTATCCTGCAAGCCCTCTGCAAAAATGTGCTTCAGTGAATTTCCACGTGAATACATTTTCAAAGCAGGAAACCAGGCAGCATTTTTGGGCTTATTTTAAAGAACAAAAGAGTATCTATACTATATGTGATTATAATCTAATAGTTTTTAAGTTAGTACAAAATAAGCAAAATAAAACTTTAATGAAAAAAGAAAAGTCAGGCGGAAGAAAGGACCAACATTTGCTTTCAACCCTATAATTTATTGGCAAAAGTTAAATCCAGCAAATACCTACTTCCTAAAATAAAAAATAAATAAATTTGGTCAGACTAGAGTTATCTTAATGGAAAAGAACATTTTACAACTACACAGCTGGCATCGCGTAAAATAAATGAATCAACTACTTGAAAAGGGAAATTACTAACAAGGGACTTACAAGAATATGGTGAATGAGAAAAGGAAGTAGAGTTCACTGTGATTTTAGGAGAAAGCAGAAGGAAACTGTGGGGAGCTGGGGACACCGGACAATAATGCAAGAGGTGATGTATAAAGTTATGAAACTGTAACTTGGTCAGAAACTTAAAAGACTGTCAAAAAAAATCTGCTAACCATTGAAACAGACTAATTCCAGTTCTGACATTCTAATTCCAGTTCTGACATTTTCCTCCCCCTTTCCTACCATCTCTGAGTAAGGGCGAATATTGAAGGGGAAGACGGTGGCTGCTAATGCACACAGGAAGTCAGGGCTCATCCACATGGAGGCAAGGTCTGGCACGTTGTGATACAAATATCTGAAGAACTGCATCAGGGTCACAGGATATTCTCGGAGCCAAGATCCCTCTTCTTCTGATTGCCAAGGCTGTTATGGGGACATGAGAGGAAACACTATGTTACAGTTATTGACACTGCTATAAATTATTTTAAAAATCCATTACTCAGTATTCTTATGAAACTGGATATATTGATGGTCCAGAACTCTGTAAACCACACATATGAGCAAACACACATGTATACACACATGCAAAGAAATTTAGAAACTAGCTAAAACAAAAAATCCCCTTAGAAACTGATAGGATCATTGTCTAATCATTAGATTAATCGCAGGTCTGCTAACTAGAATCAGTGGTTTTGATTATTCATTATTATTACCATGAGTGTTGGTGGTACCAAAGTGGCTGTATTACCATTAATGTTGCCCCATCGTGCATCATGCTAAGTTAGGAGTAAGATAAAAGGTAGGGAAGTTACTTCACCTTTCTGAGCCTCACTCTTAAGCATTATGTAATACAACAATGATGATGATAAAAAAATGAATACTGTATATTTGAACAATGTATATCTTCTGATACCTGCCCAGAGAGTATCTTTTAAAAAACTTTTCTTATGTCTTTATAGTTGTTTATGAATAGGCACCAAAACGAGACTCCTAAAACATTCTAAATTAATACATTTAATGGTAATGTTCTGTTCTTAGATGATACAACAATAGTTTTGACTGAAATTAGATTTGTCAGGTACATGTAATTCAAGGAGTCAAGTTAATATTTCCTGTTACAACACAATCCTAAATTGTATAAACAAATCTGGTCATTATTCACAGTATTCCTGTCAGATCAACAGGAACATCAGTTCTGTCTTTTACTCTTTCAATTCTTCATCTCTAAGTTAGACATAATTAGAGCAGAACAAAAGCAAAAACAAAATCAAATGAAACTTGTATTGTTAACATTTCTGACCTCTAAATGAAAGTGACTTTAAAAGTTGAAATAACATATTATTGTAATAACATATACTACAAATATGTACTCATTATATATGTACTCATTATTATATATTTTATTACATTAATAAGTTAATACTTACGAAGCACTTATTATGTATCAGCCATGTTTATAAGTGCTTTATGTGTATACACTATCTTATTAATTCCTCACAAATACCCTAAGAGATGCATGCTATTATTGTCGGCATTTTAAACACCAGGAAACTGAGGCACATAACTGAGGATAATAGATTGGAAGTACCAGAGGTGAGATTTTAACCCAGGTAGGGCTCCAGAGTGCACGGTCTTAACAACTACACAGTCTGTTCTTACGTTAGATATAATTTTGTCTAACATAAGAGTCTGAAGTTCCAGAGATCATGCAGTAAATAAAGTAGTTATGTTACCAAAAAATTCCTCTATTTACAAAAAAGTATCCTAGGCAGGAGGAATTCTCAATAGGCCTGGGCATTTGAGTGAACTTACTGAAGTCAGCATGCTGCGGAGCATTCCCAATAATAAAAAAACAGCTTCTGTGCATACGTTATGGATAGAAGAGACCACAGTTCCGCTGGAGGCAGGAACTCCAAAGATGAATGTCCAAATGGAATCCAAATCAAACTGCAGAGGTGAAAGGGAGCAAATATTAGCCACCACTAATTTTTCAGTAGAGACCCTCATAAGTTCTAATAGGCTAAAATTTCTTTGAAACTAGTTTTTTGTTGTTTTTAAAAGTAACCAATGATATAGACATAAAGAACTAGTACCCTTCCATCCTACATTTTAAAACTCATTTTTATAGATATAAAAAATTGAATACTGTGTATCATTCTGCATTCTGCCTTAGGTACCTATGTTAAAAACATTGCTTTCTACCTTTTTCCTAAAGAATATAAAAATAAAATACATGTTAATTAGCCAAGAGATAAAATTATAGAACAAATAAATTTAAGCAAGATCTTTTAAACAAAGCACATTAAGCTCACTTCTTTCCCATTCTCAGCAGTATTTTAATTTTAGATTACTTACAGATAAATCTGATAAAATAAAATTAATTTAAGACTTATTAATAGCAGTTTTATATATAAACTTTATGACTATGGCACCATGGATATTGAAAAATTGCATAACCAATACAACTGTGCTAGGCATGAATCTGTATCTTAATTTAATCTAAGGGCACAGACTCAAGTGTTTACACTTAAAAGATTTTGTCAACTACTAGAATTGATTTGAATAGCATTTGGCATTAGGATGGAAGTGTAGTTGAGTCTAAAAGCTAAATTCCTACAGTGCCACAAACATAAGCTATATACAGACATCTTTAACAGTCTTCAATTAGAAGTCAAGTAAAGTCTTACTATTTTCCCAATGTGGATGCTATCTATCATTAAGTAATTTTTTTTTCCTAATCCGAATTTGCACTGAGAATCCTGTCATACCCACTCGAGGAGTGATATTTAATTTATGGTATATAAGCCACTCCTTTCATTTTTAATTCTGCAGAAATCAATCACATGACAGGCTGGACACAGTGGCTCGCGCCTGTAATCCCAGCACTTTGGGAGGCTGAGGCAGGTGGATCACCTGAGGTCAGGAGTTCAAGACCAGCTAGGCCAACATGGTGAGACCCTGTCTCTACTAAAAATACAAAAATTAGCCCAGCGGGGTAGCGCCTGACTGTAGTTTCAGCTACTCAGGAGACTGAGGTGGGAGAATCGCTTGAACCCGGGAGGTGGAATTTTCAATCAGCTGAGATCATGCCACTGCACTCTAGCCTGGGTGACAGAGTAAGACTCTGTCTCACAAATAAAATAAAATAAAATAAAATAAAATAAAATAAAATAAAATAAAATAAAATAAATCATATAACAAAAGAGTTCTTTAGATCACCATTAAATATCATCCAGAGTCTTTATGCATCTATAATATACAGAGTTATCATATAGGAAAAAATTGTAAATAGGGACAAAGGACTTTTTGGGAAAATTTTCTGTGGTATTTTCAGATTTTTCTGTCCCAAATCAAACCTTAAATGTGGGGAAAGTGATGGAATTGACAGTTGGTTTTACAGTGATTATCCATTATCCTACGGTGATTCTTTGGAATACGTAATTTCACGCACCCCTTGCTAGATAATTCCTACCTGGCAACCCTGCTTACTCCGGCAGCTGATGACAGGCACACTGACCTGCAGGTTCTCAGGCAGCTCACTAACTGGCTGCTGCAGAAACAAGGCCATGAGGAGAAAATAGAGGGCAGGGACATTAGTGTGTTTAGGAAGGAATGACTGAAGGACTGGAAAACCAGGAAAATGACAAGCATCTCGGTTAATCTCCCTGACCGTCGATCTCCCACCAGCACTTCTGCCCACGTTGAATCCTAAGAGAAGAGGAATATAACAGTAAGTGCAAAATCAGCAACTGATAAACATGCTGCATTAACAAAGAAGGAAGTAATTCAGTATGTGTTAACATTTCTATCCAGAACATTCATACTACTATAGGCAATTAAGTATTCAACTGTTGAATTAATCTTCAGTTAAAAGTTTTACTTTACAATTTGTTTGACTTTAGCAAACCTGTCTATTAGGATATAGGTTTTGAAACACAGTTGAGACAATAAGATACAAGGGAGTTTGAAAATCCTTCTTAAGGTGCTGTAAGTTCTACTTATTAAATGAAAGACCTCAGAAGAGCTCTAGTGTTCTTGTAGTTCCCTAAGAAAAAAGTGAAATCCAAAATACAGCCAAAATTTAGAATGCTACAAAAACATAACTTAAAAATATCCTTGTTATGATATATTTTTATTTTTTTGAGACACAGTTTTGCTTTGTTGCCCAGGCTGGAGTGCAGTGCCATGATATTGGCTCACTGCAATCTCCACCTCCTAGGGTCAAAGCAGTCCTCCCACCTCAGCCTCCTGAGTAGCTGGGACTACAGACATGAGCTACCACCCCCAGCTAATTTTTGTAACTTGCTATAATGTAGTTAATATATTTCATTGTCCTGAAAATCATGAAAAACTAGTTAACCTTAAATTACCTATGAATTTAGAGACAAGACTAAATGAGTAAGTAAAACAATCTTTACTCACAACATGATCTGTAATCTGTTGGAAAGCTGCTGGGCAGTGGGATGGTAAATCCAAGCCCGTTGTGGCTGCAGCTATCCACTGGCTGAACTTAACATCCAGAATTCCCTCTAGAAACCCAGCTTTTTAAGGAGATAATCAGTTCTTACTAATGTAGCTTATGGCATCAGTGTTTCCATCAATCTTGTTTCCTCTGTTTTATAATGAAACTCAGGATACACCCTAAGCATGTGGTTCACCTCATACCTAGGGAAGTACTCAGTACACAGTGAATGTTTGTCAAATTTTCAATGGAAACTTTTGTGAATAGCAACTAATAGATGAGGAACTGATTTCGGTCTGAAGCAATTTGTATTTCAAATAGATATTTGCATTTATTATTTATTCTTTAAGATCTGAGGGTTCACTCTGTTGCCCAGGCTGGAGTACAGTGGCATGATCGTAGCTCACTTAACCTCAAACTCCTGGACTCAAAGGATCCTCCCGCCTCAGCTTCCCCAGTAGCTAGCACTACAGGCACATGCAACCATGCCTGGCTAATTAAAAAAATTTTTTGGTAGAGACAAGGTCTTGCTATGTTGCTCAGGCTGGTCTCAAACTCCTAGTGTCAAATGATGCTCCCGTCTTAGCCTCCCAAAGCACTAAGATTACAGGCATGAGAGACTGCACTCAGCAAAGATATCCATATTTTTTTCAACTTCTTTTTTTCTGGAGTGCAGCAAAGTACATATTACAACTGCTATTTTATATAATAAAGGAAAAATTTATGTCTAGGTTGCTTTCAAAATATTTTATCCTAACCAATTCCTCAGTGTGACGTGATTAACTCCAAAGTATGCTCTTCTAATTAATAAAAAAATTATATAGCAATTTAAAAAACTCTTTCCCATATCATTCCTTAATCACAATGAACATGTGAGGCAGAAATTACTATTATCATTTTTACAACATAGAAAACATGATTTGTTCAAAGTCACAATGTGTTTTAGACATGAAGTCCTTGCCCGTGCCTATGTCCTGAATGGTAATGCCTAGGTTTTCTCCTAGGGTTTTTATGGTTTTAGGTCTAACGTTTAAGTCTTTAATCCATCTTGAATTGATTTTTGTATAAGGTGTAAGCAAGGGATCCAGTTTCAGCTTTCTACATATGGCTAGGCAGTTTTCCCAGCACCATTTATTGAACAGGGAATCCTTTCCCCATTGCTTGTTTTTCTCAGGTTTGTCAAAGATCAGATAGTTGTAGATATGCGGCGTTATTTCTGAGGGCTGTGTTCTGTTCCATTGATCTATATCTCTGTTTTGGCACCAGTACCTTGCTGTTTTGGTTACTGTAGCCTTGCAGTAGAGTTTGAAATCAGGTAGGGTGATGCCTCCAGCTTTGTTCTTTTGGCTTAGGATTGACTTGGGGATGCGGGCTCTTTTTTGGTTCCATATGAATTTTAAAGTAGTTTTTTCCAATTCTGTGAAGAAAGCCATTGGTAGCTTGATGGGGATGGCATTGAATCGATAAATTACCTTGGGCAGTATGACCATTTTCATGATATTGATTCTTCCTACCCATGAGCATGGAATGTTCTTCCATTTGTTTGTATCCTCTTTTATTTCCTTGAGCAGTGGTTTGTAGTTCTCCTTGAAGAGGTCCTTCACATCCCTTGTAAGGTGGATTCCTAGGTATTTTATTCTCTTTGAAGCAATTGTGAATGGGAGTTCACTCATGATTTGGCTCTCTGTTTGTCTGTTATTGGTGTATAAGAATGCTTGTGATTTTTGTACATTGATTTTGTATCCTGAGACTTTGCTGAAGTTGCTTATCAGCTTAAGGAGATTTTGGGCTGAGACAATGGGGTTTTCTAGATATACAATCATGTCGTCTGCAAACAGGGACAATTTGACTTCCTCTTTTCCTAATTGAATACCTTTATTTCCTTCTCCTGCCTAATTGCCCTGGCCAGAACTTCCAACACTATGTTGAATAGGAGTGGTGAGAGAGGGCATCCCTGTCTTGTGCCAGTTTTCAAAGGGAATGCTTCCAGTTTTTGCCCATTCAGTATGATATTGGCTGTGGGTTTGTCATAGATAGCTCTTATTATTTTGAGATACGTCCCATCAACACCTAATTTATTGAGAGTTTTTAGCCTGAAGGGTTGTTGAATTTTGTCAAAGGCTTTTTCTGCATCTATTGAGATAATCATGTGGTTTTTGTCTTTGGTTCTGTTTATATGCTGGATGACATTTATTGATTTGCATATATTGAACCAGCCTTGCATCCCAGGGATGAAGCCCACCTGATCATGGTGGATAAGCTTTTTGATGTGCTGCTGGATTCGGTTTGCCAGTATTTTATTGAGGATTTTTGCATCAATGTTCATCAAGGATATTGGTCTAAAGTTCTCTTTTTTGGTTGTGTCTCTGCCCGGCTTTGGTATCAGGATGATGCTGGCCTCATAAAATGAGTTAGGGAGGATTCCCTCTTTTTCTATTGATTGGAATAGTTTCAGAAGGAATGGTACCAGCTCCTCCTTGTACCTCTGGTAGAATTCAGCTGTGAATCCATCTGGTCCTGGACTCTTTTTGGTTGGTAAGCTATTGATTATTGCCACAATTTCAGATCCTGTTATTGGTCTATTCAGAGATTCAACTTTTTCCTGGTTTAGTCTTGGGAGAGTGTATGTGTCAAGGAATTTATCCATTTCTTCTAGATTTTCTAGTTTATTTGTGTAGAGGTTGTTTGTAGTATTCTCTGATGGTAGCTTGTATTTCTGTGGGATTGGTGGTGATATCCCCTTTATCATTTTTTATTGCATCTATTTGATTCTTCTCTCTTTTTTTCTTTATTAGTCTTGCTAGCGGTCTATCAATTTTGTTGATCCTTTCAAAAAACCAGCTCCTGGATTCATTAATTTTTTGAAGGGTTTTTTGTGTCTCTATTTCCTTCAGTTCTGCTCTGATTTTAGTTATTTCTTGCCTTCTGCTAGCTTTTGAATGTGTTTGCTCTTGCTTTTCTAGTTCTTTTAATTGTGATGTTAGGGTGTCAATTTTGGATCTTTCCTGCTTTCTCTTGTGGGCATTTAGTGCTATAAATTTCCCTCTACACACTGCTTTGAATGTGTCCCAGAGATTCTGGTATGTTGTGTCTTTGTTCTCGTTGGTTTCAAAGAACATGTTTATTTCTGCCTTCATTTCGTTATGTACACAGTAGTCATTCAGGAGCAGGTTGTTCAGTTTCCATGTAGTTGAGCGGTTTTGAGTGAGTTTCTTAATCCTGAGTTCTAGTTTGATTGCACTGTGGTCTGAGAGATAGTTTGTTATAATTTCTGTTCTTTTACATTTGCTGAGGACAGCTTTACTTCCAACTATGTGGTCAATTTTGGAATAGGTGTGGTGTGTTGCTGAAAAAAATGTATATTCTGTTGATTTGGGGTGGAGAGTTCTGTAGATGTCTATTAGGTCTGCTTGGTGCAGAGCTGAGTTCAATTCCTGGGTATCCTTGTTGACTTCCTGTCTCCTTGATCTGTCTAATGTTGACAGTGGGGTGTTAAAGTCTCCCATTATAAATGTGTGGGAGTCTAAGTCTCTTTGTAGGTCACTCAGGACTTGCTTTATGAATCTGGGTGCTCCTGTATTGGGTGCATATATATTTAGGATAGTTAGCTCTTCTTGTTGAATTGATCCCTTTACCATTATGACTTCATGTCTAAAACACCAAAAGCAATGGCAACAAAAGCCAAAATTGACAAATGGGATCTAATTAAACTAAAGAGCTTCTGCACAGCAAAGGAAACTACCATCAGAATGAACAGGCAACCCACAAAATGGGAGAAAATTTTCACAACCTACTCATCTGACTAAGGGCTAATATCCAGAATCTACAACGAACTCAAACAAATTTACAAGAAAAAAACAAACAACCCCATCAAAAAGTGGGCAAAGGACATGAACAGACACTTCTCAAAAGAAGGCATTTATGCAGCCAAAAATCACATGAAAAAATGCTCACCATCACTGGCCATCAGAGAAATGCAAATCAAAACCACAATGAGATATCATCTCACACCAGTTAGAATGGCAATCATTAAAAAGTCAGGAAACAACAGGTGCTGGAGAGGACGTGGAGAAATAGGAACACTTTTACACTGTTGGTGGGACTGTAAACTAGTTCAACCATTGTGGAAGTCAGTGTGGTGATTCCTCAGGGATCTAGAACTAGAAATACCATTTGACCCGGCCATCCCATTACTGGGTATATACCCAAAGGAATATAAATCATGCTGCTATAAAGACACATGCACACATATGTTTATTGCGGCACTATTCACAATAGCAAAGACTTGGAACCAACCCAAATGTCCAACAATGATAGACTGGATTAAGAAAATGTGGCACATATACACCATAGAATACTATGCAGCCATAAAAAATGATGAGTTCATGTCCTTTGTAGGGACATGGATGAAACTGGAAATCATCATTCTCAGTAAACTATCGCAAGAACAAAAAACCAAACACTGCATATTCTCACTCATAGGTGGGAACTGAATAATGAGAACACATGGACATAGGAAGGGGAACATCACACTCTGGGGACTGTTCTGGGGTGGGGGGAGGGGGGAGGGATAGCATTGGGAGATATACCTAATGCTAGATGACGAATTAGTGGGTGCAGCACACCAGCATGTCACATGTATACATATGTAACTAACCTGCACATTGTGCACATGTACCCTAAAACTTGAAGTATAATAATAAAAAAAAAAGTCACAATGTGGCATAAGTGGAGGCACTATGATTTGACAACTCATTTCTCCATTTTAGAGTCTGTAAAATTATTGTTTTCTTTGCCCTCATTAATGAAACTGCCACATTTCTGAAAGATTGGCTTAATTAGAATGGCTTAATTAGGAGATCGTGCTGATTTTTCTTTATAGAAATTCTAAATAAAATTGTAAGATTAAACAATGTTTTGAGCTCTAAGAAATCAAAAGGCATCTCAGCTACTCAGGAGGCTGAGATGGGAGGACTGCTTGAGCCCAGGAGCTTAAGTCTAGCCTGGACCACATAACAAGACCCAATCTCTAAAAAATAAAAAAAATTTAAAAAGTGAAAAAGAAACCAAAAGACATCAAGTGGTTATTTTATACATTAAATAGGAAAATAGATTTTGATTACATTGCAAGTCCTAAAAAAAAACCAAAAAACTGGCATTCTCATTTTCCTCTCCTCTCACATTATTTTCCCCTATAATTAATCTTAAGGAATATTTAATATATCACGATTAAGCATTAATTTAGATACAAGTTTCAGCTACATGAAAGATTTTTATGGCAGCCATAACAAAGAATGAGTTCATGTCCTTTGCAGGGACATGGACAAAGCTGGAAACCATCATCCTCAGCAAACTAACACAGGAACAGAAAACCAAACACCGCATGTTCTCACTCATAAGTGGGAGTTGAACAATGAGAACACATGGACACAGGGAGGGGAACATCATGCACCGGGGTCTGTTGTAGGGTGGGGGTTAAGGGGAGGGAGAGAATTAGGACAAATACCCAATGCATGTGGGGCTTAAAACCTAGATGACGGGCTGATAGGTGCAGCAAACCACCATGGCACATGTATACATACATAATAAACCTGAATGTTCTGCACATGTATCCCAGAAATTAAAGTAAAATTTTAAAAAATCTATTTTTATAAAGAAAAATTTTACAAAAACCAATAAATGTGAATAAAAAAGTAAAAAAAAAAAAGGTTGCCATTCCGATCAAGGAGAAATAGAATCAAATGAGCTGATATGTACACTTGTTTACATACACAAAAATGTGTATGTGTCAGATAGATATTCAGGGAAAATTAAGTTAAGTGGGGTCAAATTGAAATTAAATTTAAATTGAATACCTAGATATAGGAGCAGCATATGCATGCTCATGCAAGTACCAATGAAGGACAAAAAGATTCTAATGCATGAAATCAGGTAGGTCAGACACAGTGAAAGCACCTCTCTCTAATATTACTAAAGTGACGCAGGACAGAAAAAGCACAGGACTAACAAAAGACAGATTCTTAGAGAGTATTACTGCCTAGCGAAATAACCTTATGTAGTTAACAGTCTTAATTTCCTAATTAGAGAAATTAATCCTTACTTTATATTCATTAGGCTTATTTTCTAGAAAATAAAACTTATATGCTATAAAATATATGCCTGTCTCCAGAATTATGAAGGACAAATGAGATGATATATGTGAACTAATTTTGCAAACCACAATGTACTATTATAAATCTCAGGCGTTATTACTACTGCTGCTGTTGGCCTTCAAAATAAGCATTGCTGTCAATTAGCATTTAAACCTTGCATATTCAACAGAACTCACATTCAGTTGTGCCTTTCGTTATTTATTCTCCAGTAGGTATTATTAAGGCCAATAAACGAAACTTCTTACTACCAAAATGTTCAAAATAATCATATCTGTAGATTAAATCCTTCCCCAGAGTTCATGTAAAATGTGATCTATTTTTTGAGCACAAAAGTACCCATGATGATCATTTAAAATGTATATTATAAAGCAGACAATTTTCTTTAGAAATCATTTCACTGTGACATGGAAATGATATTACTTTTCCTTTATCACATACAAAGTTTCTTCAGACCTTCTTCACATCTGAAATAACAATACAATAGTACTATGTTGAAAGACCTGTCTTCCTATGGCTGGGTGCAGTGGCTCACGCCTGTAATCCCAGCACTTTAGGAGGCGAAGGCGGGTGGATCACGAGGTCAGGAGATCGAGACCATCCTGGCTAACATGGTGAAACCCCGTCTCTACTAAAAAAAAAAAAATACAAAAAATTAGCCGGGCGTGGTGGCAGGCGCCTGTAGTCCCAGCTACTCAGGAGGCTGAGGCAGGAAGAATGAACCCGGAAGGTGGAGCTTGCAGTGAGCCAAGATCGTGCCACTGCACTCCAGCCTGGGCGACAGAGCTAGACTCCGACTCAAAAAAAAAAAAAAAAAGATCTGTCTTCCTATAATTTGCTTTCATGTTTAAAGAAGTAGTACAGGCAGCAGCTAGACACTGATACTTAAACTTTTTTTCTATAAATGAATTACATATTAAATTCTAATCCCTATTTTTCCCATCGGACCAAGGTAAATAGATATTCTCAATATCAGCTTCTTAAGATCAGACACACAAACAATTAGATATGATTTACAAGGCAATGTTACATGACAAATGTATTTTTAAAATTATTTAACTGAATGACTTTGCCTTTAAATAAAGACAGTATCTTCAAATATATATTTTCCAAAGTAATATTACTAATATGAATGGAAACATATGAGTTCAAATAAATCTAGCATAGTAAACTGCAATTTTCTAACATTAGGTAAATGCTCAG
Organism: Homo sapiens; assembly: GCF_000001405.40. Taxonomy (NCBI): domain Eukaryota; kingdom Metazoa; phylum Chordata; class Mammalia; order Primates; family Hominidae; genus Homo; species Homo sapiens. Next base: position 84,765,268 of record NC_000004.12, read on the forward strand.
TTATAGGCTGAAAATAGCTATGGTACTAGTGAGCTTAAATCCTTGTGTGGCAATATAACATAAATGTTAAAAGCATAGGCTTTGGAACTAAATAAAATGAATTTGGTTTCCTAATCTGCAAAATAGATATGATAGCATTTGCACCTCACAGAGTTATTGTGATGAAATGTTATTGCCTGGCAAGTGTTTAGGAACTGGCACACAGTAAGTACTCAAAATAAATATTTATTATTATTATTAATTTAGTTCTACTACTGATAATTTGCTAATTATTTACTTACAGATCAGTAAGGCCTATACTACAAAAAGATCTTGAGGAATTCCCTGAGTTTTCAAATCTTAGTATGTTATCTCTGTCTTCAGTTTGATTTGCCATTTAAAAGGACTAATTTGAAATCTTGTAAGCTCTTCCTTCTATCATTAATTAAAATTAATATCTCCTTAATGGTGATCAAACCGCAGAGGATAAGTTTACATAAAATTTAAAATAAAACAAAACACACCAGCTCATTTTCAAGCAGCTGACTAGAAAAGTCCCATACCTAATACAGTTCCAATCTTATTAGTTAAGACAGAATCTGTCTGTTCAAGCCATCCTCCACCACTGAGTCCTTCTTTAAACTTGATGAGAATAGACTGATTACTTAGTAGGACAACAAGAATCCTCATGGCTGCTGTAACTGTGGTGGAATGTAAGTGTTCCTCCATAAACATCATGATCCAGTCAAAACCCAGTGTCTTCACCAGTTCTTCACAAGCTCTATTCAAGACAGATGGATTTAAAAAACAAAAAACAAAATTAATTTCAGAAATTAGGATTTCAAATCAAAAAGGAAAAAGAAGACTGAGTTTCATTCTGGAGATACTATAAATTTCAGGGTTAAAAAAATCTATTTAAAGTCAATGGCAATTCCTTCTTTTGCCTAACATGAATTAACTAGTAGTAGCAACTGGTATAATCACTTTTAAAAAAGATTTACTTACTGCAAATTAATGCTTGTCTTTTCTTTAGATGTATAAATTAGTTTTAGCAAGATATCCAGAAGTCTGTTCCTCAAAAGTATAAGATTAGCTGATACAAGACCTCCAAACTCCTCTTCAGTTCCTAAAATAAAAATAAATACATTAAATCTCCCTAGTAGATAAGCTAAAAGAAAATTTACAACATAGTTCTTGGAAAGTTTACTGAAAAATATATCTTTTAGAAAACATTTTCTCCAGGACTGCTTTTCACCAACATGGACAAGAAAAAGGGTCAGTTAAATATTTCTCTTTAGAACTCCGAAAATTGTTCATTTACATTTGACATTTCCTAAACTACTGATAATAAGGCTGTGAGATATTTTTTACATTAATATTCCCCTTGCCTTCCCAGTAGGGGGAAAGTCATCAAATGAGGACCATGTGAATAAAAATAATAATCACCACTGACTCTTAACCTCTCAAATCCTTAATTCTTAGTTTCTTTTTTGAAAGATACAGTTAATTCTACCAGATTTAAAAATTGAAAATAGGAAGCATAGACTTATTCAGTAAACGTAATACATAAAGAAAAGTTAGAATTAAATAGCACAGAAGAAAGGCAAAGGCGCACAAACGCATAAAGGAGAAATTAGAGAAGAAACGAAGAAATGGAGCTGAGACATTCTCAGATAGTACTGCAAGTACACAGAACTGGGCATCAACAACCCAGAGTTCTAGGCCCAGCTCTCCTCCAGCAGAGCTATGAGTTACTGAGTCACAGACCTCACAGAGGCACACCTTTTAATGCACTTTGCAGATACTGTGTTTCTTACAAATTAAAGGGTTGTGGCAACCACACATACAGCAAGTCCAATCAGGCCATTTTTTTTTTTCAAAAGCATGTGCTCACTTCATGTCTCTGTCTTATTTTGGTAATTCTTACAGTGTTTCAAACTTTTTCATTATTGTAATATCTGTTACAGTCATCTGTGATCTTTTATGTTACTATCATAATTGTTTACAAGTGCCACTGTCTTACTCTTATAAGACAGTGAACTTAGTCAAAAAATGTGTTTTGACAGCTCCGACTGGCCATTTACCCATCTCTCTCACTCTTCTCAGGCCTCCCTATTCCCTGAGTCACAATAATATCGAAATTAGACTAAGTAATAACTCTACAATGGCACCTAGATGTTCAAGCGAAAGAAAGACTCATGTATCTCTCACTTTAAATCAAAAGCAAGAAATGATTAAGTTCAGAGAGGAAGGCATGTTGAAAGATCAGACAAGCCCAAAGCTGGCCTCTTGTGCTAAAAAGTTAGCTAAGTTGTGAATACAAAGAAAAAATTCTTGAAGAAAACTGAAAGTGCTACTCCAGTGAACACGCAATGATAAAAAAAAAAAAAGAAAAGAAACAGCCTTATTGCTGATAGAAAGTTTTACTGGTCTAGATAGAAGACTAAATCATCTACAACATTCCCTTAAGCTAAAACATAATCCTGAGCAAAGCCTGAACTCTCTTCAACTCTATGAAGGCTGAGAGAGCTGAGAAAGCTGCAGAAAAAAAGTTGGGGGCCAGGTGCACTGGCTCGTGACTGTAACAGAACATTAGGGAGGCTGAGGTGGGACAATCTCTTGAGTACAGGAGTTTGAGACCAACCTGGGCAACATAGTTGGACCCTGTCTCTAAAAAAATGAAGAAATGAACTGGGTGTGTTAGCACACACCTATAGTCCCAGCTACTCAGAAGGCTGATGTATGAGGATCGCTGGAGCCCAGGAGGCCGAGGCTGCAGTGAGCCATGATTGTTCCACTGCACTCCAGCATGTGTGACAAAGTGAGACCCTGTCTCAAAAACAAATAGACAAAAAGAAAAAACAAAGAAAAGCTGGAACCAGAAGAGGTTGGTTCATGAGGGTTAAGGAAAGAAGCCATCTCCATAACAAAAGTGAAAGACGAAGCAGCAAGTGCTGATGTAGAAGCTGCAGTAAGTTATACAGAAGATTTAGTAAGATAATTAATGAAAGTGACTACGCTAAACAACGGATTTCTCCAACAGACTTCTCAACAGATTTTTTTCCAACAACTTCCTATTGGAAGAAGATGCCATCTAGGACTTTCATAGCTAGAGGGGAGAAGTTAATGCCTGGCTTTAAAGCTCCAAAGAACAGAGCTGACTCTCTTGTTAGAGGCTAATGCAGCTGGTGACTTTAAGTGGAAGCCAATGCTCATTGATCAACTTGAAAATCCTAGGGCCCTAAGAATAAAGCTCAATCTACTCTGCCTATGCTCGCTAAATGAAATACCAGAGTCTGGATGACAGCACATCTGCTTACAGTACGGTTTACTGAAGATTTTAAGCCCACTGTTCAGACCTACTGCTCAGAAAAAAAGGTTCCTTTCAAGATACTACCAGCTCACTGACAATGCACCTAGCCATCCAAGAGCTCTGATGGAGATGCACAAAAAAATTAATGTTGTTTTCATGCTTGCTAATATATCCATTCTGTAGCCCATGAATCAAGGAGTAATCTTGACTTTGAATTAACTTCAAAGTTTTATTATTTAAGAAATACATTTCTTAAGGCTATAGCTGCCATAGATGGTGATTTATCTGATGGATCTGGCCAAAATAAAGTAAATATTTTGGATAAAATTCACCACTTTAGACGCCATTAAGAATATTCATGATTCATGGGAAGAGGTCAAAATATAAACATTAACAGGAGTTGGAAGAAGTTGATTCCAATTCTTATGGATGACTTTGAGGGGCTCAAGACTTCAGTGGAAGAAGTAACTGCAGATGTGGTAGAAACAGCAAGAGAACTAGAATTAGAAGTGAAGCCTAGAGATGTGACTGAATTACTGCAATCTCATGATACAACTTTAACAGATGAGAAGCTGCTTCTTACAGATGAACAAGAAAGTGGTTTCTTGAGATGGAATCTACTTCTGGTCAAAATGCTTTGAACATTGTTCAAATAACAACAAAGGACTCAGAATATTACATAAACTTAATTGATATAGGAGTGACAGTTTTTGAAAGGATTGACTCCAATTTCCAAAGAAGTTCTACCATAGGTAAAATGCCATCAAACAGTATCGCATGCCACACAGAAAACTTTTGTGAAAGGAAGAGTCCATTGTTATAGCTAACTATATTGTCTTTTTTTGCTTTTATTATTATTATTATTATTTTTTTGAGACGAAGTCTCACTCTGTCGCCCAGGCTGGAGTGCAGTGGCGCGATCTCGGCTCACTGCAAGCTCCGCCTCCTGGGTTAACGCCATTCTCCTGCCTCAGCCTCCCGAGTAGCTGGGACTACAGGTGACTGCCACCATGCCCGGCTAATTTTTTTTGTGTGTATTTTTTTAGTAGAGACGGGGTTTCACCATGTTAGCCAGGATGGTCTCGATCTCCTGACCTCGTGATCCACCCGCCTTGGCCTCCCAAAGTGCTGGGATTACAGGCATGAGCCACCGCGCCCGGCCTGCTTTTATTATTTTTTTAATTGACATATAATTGTATGCATTCATGGGGAACAGTATGATATTTCAATACATGTGTACCATATGTAATGACCAAATCAGAATAATTAGCATGTCCATCACCTGAAACCATTGTTGTCTTATTTTAAGAAATTGCCACAGCCACCTCAACCTTCAGCAACCACCACCCTGGTCAATCAGCAGCCAACAATATCCAGAAAACACCCTCCACCAGAAAAAATTACAATTTGCTGAAGGCTCAGATGATTGTTATCATTTTTTAGCAATAAAAAACTTTTAAACTGAGTTATATACTTTTTTTTTTTTTGAGACGGAGTCTCACTCTGTCACGCAGGCTGGAGTGCAGTGGCGTGATCTCTGCTCACTGCAAGCTCTGCCTCCCAGGTTCAAGCCATTCTCCTGCCTCAGCCTCCTGAGTAGCTGGGACCACAGGCGCCCACCACCACGCCTGGCTAATTTTTTTGTATTTTTAGTAGAGACGGGTTTCACCATGTTAGCCAGGATGGTCTCGAACTCCTGACCTCATGATCCGCCCTCCTCAGCCTCCCAAAGTGCTGGGATTACAGGTGTGAGCCACCGCGCCCGGCCGAGTTATATACATTTTTTAAAAGATACAATGCTACTGCACAGATAGTAGACTACAGTATAGTGTAAACATAACTTTTACAGCACTGGGAAACCAAAAAATTTATGTGACTCACTTTATTGTGATGTTAGCTTCATTTGCAGTGGTGTGGAACTAAACCTGCAATATTTCTGAGGTATTCCTATACTTTCCTTCTTTCTAGAACTAACGCTCAGGCTAAAGTTTCATGGTTATATACTTCTACTTGTTTGGAACAATGTACCTGTAAACTGTCCTTTAAAATGCTAACTTAGTACCTTAATCATTATGGATACTTCAAGCTACCAAGAAGAACCCAAGATCCTCACCTCTTCTAAGAAGACAGAGACTGGTAATTTGAAAATTGCCTTATCAAAAGAATATCACAAAACTTACTCTAAGAGCTACTTCCTTTAAATTTTTCTACAATAAAGTAATAATCTAGACAGAAATTAAAAATTTTATTTAACTTTTATGTCTCCTTTTCTTACTGCCACAGTTTTCATTTTTTAGAACATTATACTCAATAAAGTCTTCAGTGCATATCAAATAAATAATAAATGTCATACACTAACAAGACTAGCAATTTGCTTCTGACTTTATTATTTCAAATGACAATAAGCTGATGAGAGTATCAGTCTAATCAACTTGGCATATCAAAAGAAAAATTTACTAATTTATACATCCCTACTTCAATGTTCTATATGAAAGAAAAATTTACAACACTACTATGGTTACTGAATTCAATGGACAGCAAATAAATATGGAAACCAGATAAATATTTTTCCCACCTTTTTTTGTTTGTTTTTAGAGACAGAGTCTCACTCTTGTCACCCAGGTTGAAGGTCAGTGGCACAATTACAATTCACTACAGCCTCAGCCTCCTCAGGCTCAAGTGATCCTCCCACTGCAGCCTTCTGAGTAGCTGGGTCTATAGGTGCACACCAACACACCTGGTTAATTTTTGTATTTTTTGTAGAGACGGAGCTTTGCCATGTTGCCCAGTCTGGTCTTGAATTCCTGGACTCAAGCAATTTACCTGCTTCAGCCTCCCGAAGTGTTGGGATTACAGGTGTAAGCCACCATGTTCAGCCCACATATTTTTTATACTTGAAATAAATGCATTACATATTTCAGCAATCTTTAAAGCACTTTCACTACCTAATTATAATTAGTCAGCCTATATTAATTTAGAACTTAGAAATAATCTTTGCATTTCGTAGGAAAATGTAGTAGTTAAAAGCTTAGAATGCTTGTTTAGACTACCTGGGTTCCTATATAGTCAATGGTATGATATTGGATAAATTTCTTTTACTTGTATCTTTTTGGGCTGCAGTTTCCTCCCTTGTATAATTGGAATAATAGTACCTATTTCATATGGTTATTACAAAATTATATAGAGCACTTAGTAAGTATTCAATAAGTGTTATTCATTGATCTGATCTTTATACTTCTCATCCACTGCTAATTTGCTTCACCAGAGAAATATCAGCATCATTCTAAATGAATTGGCAGTAGGTAACTGTCAGGGTCCTGAACCTGTCACTAACATACTGTGTGATTTGCAGCAAGTCACTTAGTTTTTCAAATCTCTCCATCTCTCCTTTGAAAATTGTAATCACACCACTTTCTCCTACTCATGAAGCACAGGAGAGGCTGTGCTCGGGAAGGACAGACATCATGGAGAACCCCTTTGGGAGGAAGTGATACTACAACAGTTCTTCTCCACCCTCCAGGTAGATGGGGTTGTATGGACTTAAATAATCTATATGATATGATTTGGGAATAATATAATAGGGTAATAATGTAAATAAGGCTGAACAAATATAAGATTCTGAGAATTTAATTCCAGAGGTCAACCTAAAAAAAGGTCCTTTCAATGCATTCCAAGCAACTCTCCTGTCCTAGCATATACAACAAGAAAAACATATGGGAACAGAGGGAGGATATATATGTACTAAATGAGGAAAGGTTTCCAAAAAAAGTACTTGTCATGGACCCAGGAACTTACAACTTATGAAATTATTTTTATATTATACTTACATAAAGTGATACTATGTTATTTTTCTCAGTGACTACTAAATATTTAACAGGGAAGTGAAAATAATAGTAATACAGATATATGGATATAATTTAGTTTAGCAAGTATCATGTTTCTGAAGAGATATACATACATTTAAAAAATCAAATAATGTTCAAATCACACAGGAAGAGTTTGCTATTTAAAGAAACATTGCTATGAATACTCTAAAAATAGGAAATATTTTATTTTTGAAGTAAAATTCACACCCTATTAAATTTTGTAGGCAATACTGTATAGGCTTAATATAAGACAAATACATCAGAGAAGGGCCAAAAACGTAATGTAAGGAGAAAAGTTATACATATATTATATATAATCACATGTAATTCAGGTCTAATTTGGGCCAGAAGAAAAAAGGCATAATATTTAGTTGACCACTATCTTCTCCAAGCTCCAGAATCAACTTACCAGTGTCAAGCTTCTCTTCATTATTTATTTCCATTACTACAAATTTCTCACAAACCGCAAAGGTTGGCAAAGTAGAAGAAATAAACTGCCCAAATCTTTAAACAAAGGAAAACAAGATTATGGATTTTCTTTTTCCTCTTCCCAAAACAAACAACAAAGTACAAAGAAACAAAATACAAAGAATAAAAACCAAAACAGTACTTTTTTTTTTTTTCATAATCTCATTTCATTTTATTCACTTGCAGAAAGAAATGCATGTTCTGATCATCTGGAGATTTTAGTTTCCTTGTTGCCCACTCAGTCCTTCACAGCATACCACCAGCGAGAAAGATAAGAGTAGTGTGGGGGCATGTCTTTGTACTTCTTATCTTAACTAGCCTTTTAAGGACCATTAGGTGATAATATTTAGTTTGCTTCCTCTTGGACCATCCCAAGTAACATTATATAAAATAATGCTTTTAAAATATGGGGAAAATACAGTTCTTCGAAATATGAATTCTTTAATGCACTAACATGCAAATGGTTTCAAAAACCAAACAACATGATCCATATTCGAATGTCCTAACATTATCTGGATGGATCCACTGTAGCCTAGCAGTTAAGAACTTGGGTTTACATATATGATTAAATTCCTGGAGTAGGGGGAACAGGAGAAGAAAAAACATCCTGACTGTATCACATTCGAATTACGTGACCTGGGGCTTTGTTTCTTCATTTATAAAGTAGGGAAAAAAACAAAAACTTTTACAGGTTTAGGGAATAATTTCAGCAAAGTGACCATTACAATGCTAGGAATTGCTTTAAATATACATTCTTGACATAATGATAATTATAATTAATTCTCCAAAATAATTCTTAAGCTAAAGTTTTAGATCTGCCACCAGATTTTTTGTTTGTTTGTTTGAGACGGAGTTTCACCCTTGTCACCCAGGCTGGAGTGCAGTGGTGCGATCTTGGCTCACTGCAACCTCCGCCTCCCGGGTTCAAGTGATTCTCCTGCCTCAGCCTCCCAAGTAGCTGGGATTACAGGTGCCCACCACCATGCCTGGCTAATTGTTCCTATTTTTAGTAGAGATGGGGTTTCACCATGTTGGGCAGGCTGGTCTTGAACTCCTGACCTCATGATCCGCCTGCCTCAGCCTCCCAAAGTGCTGGGATTATAGGCGTGAGCCACTGCACCCGGCCCCCCAGGTTTAAAAATATGTTTTGAAGGCAAATTAATAAAAAAGTGAGTGACTTACAAACTATACAGATTAGAGGTTAGTCCATGAGAATAACTGAATAAATGGGTGTGATTTCACCTGAGATACTTGGTAGATCACATGAACGAACAGTAGTGACCAAGTCCAGTTTAAGCAATTCTCTACTTGAAAAATATTCAATTGTGTAGTTTGTTTTTCTTGTTTTCCTTCTATAATCCCCAAATTTTCCAAAATGGGGATTATCATGTGAACATAAGAACATTTCTACAGACATGCCTTCAATATGCCTTAAACCGCATTTTGCATTGTCTGCAAAATAATACTTATATCATACAAAAAGTGTGGATATGCAACAGATTTAAAATACCATAATCTGTTTGAATGACAGAGAATAAAAAATAGCGGTGGCACACCCACTATTTAGGAGTGTGTATGCGTGCTTGTGCACATACATTTAAAAATTAGCAGGGCTTGGGAAATAGGATTGGGAACCAAGAATTCCTAGACTGAATACTTTATATCCAGGCCAATTTCATTGGGCTAATTCCTACATCTTTTCTCACCAATATTCTACTATTCACTAGTGGCAACAATTAGCTTTGCTCCATCAAGGCAAGATATTGTCTCATTCATGTTTTCCATGCGTCATAAATATTTTGAATCGTATTAACATTACAGGTGTTATTACACAGTCATAAAAACCAATTAAATTCATCTCATCCATCTTAACCTCATTGGTACTTTTAGTTAATAAAAAGACAAAGACAAAGAAGTTTTTCCTACCTGAGCAGATCATTGCTGCTAGGAAAACCTTGCAGTAAGAAGCTCAGGACATTACTAATAGCAGCAATAGTAGGCTGGGATAAAGACATATCTCGAAGAGTCAGGAGCAGCTTTGGGATTAACTGGAATTCTCTCATTAATTTGGCATTCTTTGAGGCTTCACTATAAGAGAAAGAAGATTTTATACACTGTACTATCACCTTTTCTATAGCTGAATAATTAACTACGTGGGTATTAATTAATACCTGGACTCTGTGAGCAGTTCAATAAAGTGTTCAAATAAGGAAAGATGAAGTTCATATGGTGCATGGAGCCAGACCTATAATAAATAAAAACAGTAGTATATTTAAGGTTAAAAAAAATGCCCAAATGCCAAACCAACAAACACCAATACAGCACATGGAACTTATTTCACTTATATAATTATTATCTTGTAAAGTTCTATAAAACCACTTATATGCAGAAAAAAAATCATTATAAATTGGCCAAAAAAATGACCAAAATGATGGAATTATCACACTTTTACAAAGCTAGTTCAAATACCCTCCATATGCTAAAGAATGTATTGAAAAACATGCACATGACGAGGAGCCAAATGAAAGACAACCAAAGCCCCCTAATGAACCTCTAGACATGACAAATAAAATATTTAAAATGAAAAATATACTGGACGGCATTAATAGTAGATGAGATACTTCCGAAAAAAAATTCAATAAACTTGAAGACATAACAATAGAAATTATTCAGAATGAAGCATAAGAAAAAAATACTAAAAAGAAATGACCAGATTTAGTGTATGAGTGATTTGAGACAGTATCAAGCAATCTAAGATATGTGTCATTGGTGTCCAGAAAAGGGAAGGGAGTGGCAGGAAAAATCATTGAAGAAATAATGGCTAAAAAATTCAAATGTGATGAAAATGACAAACTCACAGATCAATAAACCCAAGCAGAAGAAACATTAAGTGGACAAAGGGGACAATGAAATGACTGACATCTTTAATGTGTGAAAACAATAAAAACAGTCAACTAGAACTCTATTCCATGCAAAAATGTCCTTCAAAAAGGAAGAAAGAAATGGAAGACTTTTCCAGATGACAGAATTCACTGCCAATATTTCTGTAATACAGAAATGTTAAAAAAAAATCTCCAGGCAGAAAAATTACACAAGATGGAAATGGAGATTTACACAAAGGAATAAAGAATGCTATAAATACTATATATGTAGTCAAACAGAAAATAATTGTAAAATGTTTTTTGAAAATAATTGATCATTTAAAGCAAAAATAATACAAACTATCGTAGGGATTATAAACATATAGAAGTAAATGTATACAATAGCATAAAAATGGGAGAAATGAAAGTCTCTTATTGCAAAGTATTTATAAGGTATAATATTCTTCAAAGATAGACTGAATTGTTTTAGATGCACATAATAAATTCTAAAACAATCACTAAAAATTGTACATGGCATTGCAATTATTTTACTTATATTTGTCAAATGAGTATTCTAAAAATTTGGTAAATTAGGTATTTATAGACTACTTGTGGTTTGGAGTAATTAGGGATGCTATAAGAAGCCATAAAGTGAGCAATGTACTATAAAATAAAGCAAAATTTATTAAGCAACTAAATTTCTGATGTTTGTATATTGAGTTTTAATCAGAAATCTGAAACTGAAGATAATCCTTGATTTAAATGTGTCAGTTACCAGGTGAAAACAAGGTTAGGCTGGGTTAGGTAGGTCTTCTTAGTGTTCCCATAATCCCTTCTGTCTACCATCTCTGGGCTTTCACAAGTTTTAAATTATCTATTTCTTTGTCTTTTTCCTCTAATGGACTAAATGCCTTGAGCTGTGGACTCTTACTTTTTCTTTTCACATCCTTAGTAACTAATATAGTGTTTGCCTCAAAAATACTCAGCAAGTGCTTTCTAAAAGAATAAGAGGTTTGGATATTAGAACTTTGAATACTAGGCTGAGAAATGTGTACTTTATAGTGTAGAAAAGGAAAATCACTGAAAGTCCTTGAATAAATGATACGATTATGCCTTTGAAAGAATGAGGTCCCAAGGGTATGTAGGACAGCCTGAGCAAAGGGAAAAAGAAGTGATAGTTATCCTAGTATGAATAGGAGAAGAATTGATTAGGGCTTGAATTAAGATATAGCAGTAGAAGCAGAAAAGGCAGACTACGAAATGTGAAAGTAGAACCTATATGACAATATCAGACTGTTTATACACAGGGAAGAAGGAAGCTGATGTTTTCAATTTCAAGACTTGGTGACTAGGGGAATGGTGGTGTTATTAAGAGAAATAGAGAAGTTAGAAGGAAGAACTAATTTGGAGAGGGATGCTAAGTTCAGTTAAGGTGTTGGTGGGACAGTGCTGACTGAGCAAGAATTAAAAATAAGTCTGGAATTCAGATGTCAAGGTTAGAGATTTAGATTTGAGGATCAACTCCACAGAGATGAGACCGTCAGCCTAGGTAAGAGTTTAAAGAAAGGAAAACAACAAATAAAGGAAAATGTAAAAAAGTAAAGATGAACATCCTTACATAAAATAATGAAAACATTGCTGCAAGAAAATAATAGAAAAAAATAGTAAGAAAGATGTAAGAACCAGGATATTAACACCTGAAAGCTAGCAAAAGAAGTATAACTTGAAAGAATATGAGGGAAACAGACAATAGCCAATGTTACTGAGAGCTGCGGATGCTGAAAACTGAGTACAGGCCATAGATTTTTATTTAGGGGGAAGCTTCTAGTAAGCTTTGAAAATACAGTGTCAGTAAAGCAATTAGGGCACACTGTTTGTGAGGGATTCAATAATTGACAAAACAGAGCTTACAGAAGTTGTGAGGAAGAAGGGTTAGGGCCTAGACACAAGAGTTCGCAAATATTAAGTGCTAGGCACTATTCTAGGTGGTAGGAACACAAAGACAAAGAAGATAAACATGATTTCCCCAATCATAAAGCCCATAGATCCTACAGTTTCACAGGGATATATTACATAAATTTAGTACATAATAACTAACATGCAAAGTGCTGTAAACAAGAAATTAAATGGAAAAAGGATATAAGTGATCACGAGTTGCCTTGAGAGAACAGAGTGTAAGCTGTTACAGTAATAAGCCAGTAGAAATGAAAATGCCTTTGAAAGAATGAGGTCCCAAGGGTATGTAGGACAGCCTGAGCAAAGGGGAAAAAGAAGTGATAGTTATTCTAGTATGAATAGGAGAAGGATTGATTAGGGCTTGAATTAGGATATAGCAGTAGAAGCAGAAAAGGTAGACTATGAAATGTGAACATAAAATGAATGATATTTTACCATGCAGCTGTAACCAAAATTAGAGGTCTAGGTCCTATTTATCAAGAAAAAGTTTCTATCAGAATTGCCTGATGAAACTATGTTTGACTCATGTAATGCCACTGCCAGCAGCAAATCAGCTAGTTAGGGATATGCATCATACCATTTCACTTCTAAAATATTTGCAAAATGGAATATCCTTGGAGAAAAGGAACCCCAGCATTATTCTACTTTTTATATTTTACTAAATGATATTAACATGAACATCATAAAATTATAGGGCTTTAAACACATTTTAGAGATAAAATAGTTTATAATCATATGGAGTAAGAAATGCATTCATTGATTATATATTATCAATTATGCTTATATACATACTTCAAAATCACAGAGGAGGTCCTGGAAAGCAGTTGAATTTGGAATAATGGAGGTCTCATGTCCACTATCAACAGTTCCCACCAAAGAAAAAGTTAGATGGAGGATGTGGCTGTTAAGAAGGGAACGTTTCTTCTTAAGCAACATTGCCAGCAACTACAAGAAAGTAATACCAAATGCCTGTTGATAAATCATCATATATATTCATTACACACACACAAACACACACATACACACACAAACACACACATACACACACAAACACACACATACACACAGAATCCTATGTAGATGATTTTCTGAGATTATTAAGTTAATTTCTAAATTTTTATTATGAAAATATAACATTAGGTAAAATCTGAAAAACAAAGGGATCTTAACATTCTATTAAAATATCCACTTTTACATTTACCCTTTCAATTCCATTATAAATATGTAAATAGTTACCAACGCGTGCATAAAATTGTATGTATAATGAAAACATCACAGCAAGAATATAAAATTGTATGCACATGATGGTAACTACTTAAATATACACTTTTTGTGTTATAAAGTATTTTTTTTTGCAACACGGTCTTAATAATTACAATTTTAAAAGGTTGAATGATAGTCTATGGAATGCTTAGAGTATAATTAGTCATTCTCTTATTACTGGTATATCTAGATTGTTCTATTTTTTCATGATAAACAACGCTGCAATAATCATTTTGAAAGTTTTGCAAAAGAAAACACTTATTGAAATACTATAATTAAATCTATACAACACAGTAAACAGTATATTCATTATCAATAAACTAATGGTTAAACTTGCAGAAGGCATTTGTACTTCGTGTATGATAGGTTTTAATCTTGCTTCAAGTATTTGTTCCTCTTCTTACAAGTGATTTTTTATCTAATTCTGACTGTGGATACATAAATGCTGCTTTTTTTTTTTTTTGAGTCTTGCTCCTTCGCCCAGGCTGGAATGCAATGGCGCAATCTCGGCTTACTGCAGCCTCCGCCTTCCAGGTTCAAGCGATTCTCCTGCCTCAGCCTCTGAAGTAGCTGGGATTACAGGCACATGCCACCATGCCTGGCTAATTTTTGTATTTTTAGTTTTCAGGAATAGCAATGGTACACTTATTATGTAGTGGCTTTCACGTCTCCTGAGTAAGTAACAGAGATAAAAGATGGTGGGGTGTGAGGTGGAGGGGAGAGAGAAGGAAACAGGGAGAGCCCTGAATCTACCATGGATTTGGCAATCCTTTCAGGAAGGGGGAATAGGACCCCATTTCATTTCTTTCCCATTTCCACAGAGAAAAACAACATTCAAACCAGCAAACCTTTGTTCTGAAAATAAATTCAATGTATTAAAGCTATATTGAAATAATGTTGCCTAACTCAAGTGTTTAGTAAGATTTGATAAGATAGGAGAAAAAGGATAAAGCAAAATAAAGAAACAATACATACTTTCATTTGACATATATTAGTTTTCATAAAACTACTGTCTCTTTAAGTTTCCTTGGACAATATAATTCTTCCAGAGTTTCAAACAACATGAATGATAATAAAAAAGCAGAGTATTTTAGGTGCCAGGTGAAGTGAAGGCAAAGTTTTACAGTTACAAACCTGGTAGCCCTTGATTCTTTCCATTTCTTTGCTGGCTAGTGGGTTACTCTTGACCACACAAACCAGGGCCTTGACTGCTGCATATAACCCTTCCACATCAGAGGCCATGGCCACCAGGCCCAGGATGGCTGCAGCTCCACCAACGTACTGCAAAGTAGTGGCAACAGGCTTAGGGACAAATGTTCTTACTCCTGATTAAAAGATAGTGAAAAATAATTAAGATAAATTCCCCATGTGAACAAGAACTGTATACATCATCTTGAAAAGTTTTTTAATTAGCAGTGTTTTATTTTAAAAATATCTTCTGTCTATAATGCAAATTCTAGGGAAAGCATTAAAGGTAGAATTTGGGACAAGGCAATACAGGCTGGCTGGGCACGGTGGCTCACACCTGTAATCCCAGCACTTTGGGAGGCCGAAGCAAGTGGATCACAAGGTCAGGAGTTTGAGACTAGTCTGACCAACATGGTGAAACCCCAAACCCCGTCTCTACTAAAAATACAAAAATTAGCCGGGCGTGGTTGCACGCGCCTACAATCTCAGCTACACAGGAGGCTGAGGCAGGAGACTCACTTTAACCTAGGAGTTGGAGGTTGCAGTGAGCCGAGATCGCGCCACCGCACTCCAGCCTGGGTGACAGAGGGAGACTCCCTCTCAAAAAATAAATAAATAAATAAATAAATAAATAATAAAATTCTTTGAAAAGGAAAAAAAGCTAATCTACATACTCTTAGAGAAGACTGGGTGTAGAGGAGTGAGCAGAGAAGAGCAGGGCTTTACAGCAAGCACAAATGTTTCTACTGTGTAGCTCTGGGCTGTACTCAAAAGTAAGTGGTCTTGAGAATGCATTTCTGAGTAAGTAAGAGTGCCTTACTAGCATCTGTTGGGGAATAACCTTGGGGACAATAAAAGTCACTTTAACTCTGTGAACTGGAGAAAGGTTTGGAGAAGCTATCCTGGCGGGGATGATGTATTTCCTATAGATAAACCAAGCAAAGCACATTACTGACCATTACCCAGAGCTTCTCTTGGTTAAGTAATCTGTGTAACAGTACATCAGTAACTTTAGGAGAGCATAAGTTTATAGAAACACAGTCCTGGAACTGTGTGCCAATTAAAAAAAAAAAAATCACACCTACATTCCTAACATTTTAAAGAGGCATTGTTTGAATGTCACTTGCCTGCTGACCAAGACTGAGATTTTAAAAAATAAAAGTAACATGCATATTATATTTCTATGTGCTCTGCAGTATTCACAATACTTTCTTTCCTTCTTTCCCTTTTGTTTTTTTTTTTTTTTTTTGAGACAGGGTCTCATTGTCACCCAGGCTGGAATGCAGTGGCTCAATCACAGCTCATTGCAGTCTCCTGGGCTCAAACAATCCTCCTGTCTAGGCCTCCCAAAGTGCTGGGATTACATGGTGTGAACCACCATGCCCAGCCCACAATACCTTCATATATTACAGTGCTGGATTTTGAAAACTAGCTCCTAAGGTAATTAGGGCCAGTATTACTAGTTTATAGATAAGAACACTGAAGTTCATAGAGCTTAACTGTATGGCATAATATCACATAGTGACACAACAGGGGCTGGAACCTAAGTCTCTGAACTTACTGCTCACTGCTCTTTCCACTATACCACAGGGCTGCTATACTTTTGAAAAGGACATACCACAGTGCTTGTAAGTATTTTTTGAATAAAAGAACGCTACCACGTGCTTTAGAGTAAAGAAAATTTTTACCAATGCTGTATTATCAAAAAAGAAAAACAAACATTTATGCAATTCACTGGGACAATAAAAATTGCCAATGACTAATAAACATGTTGGATTCTGACCAGCACAACACTAACTTTTTATTAATCTAAAAAGGAACCAGTATTATATACTGATTTACACATTAAAAGTCACAATCACTGGTTCTGAATTTTGAATGGCGTGATTGGTTTATGTCTCAAGATCCTATCTAACAAAAAAACAAAAACAAAAATAACGTTTTAAGCAGACATGTACAAGGCTCTGAAGAATGTCCACGCTCTAAATTTTTATTATAGTTTGAGTCAGTGTTTATACTCAGAAGCTCTAATTTCTAGCTCATTTCTAAATTAACAAAAACTCATGAGCTATATACCAAATCATGAAACAATCAATAATAGTTCTGAATTTTGATACCTGTCACTAAATGTAATTTGAAATTTACCTAAAAGTTACACGAAATTATATAGTCAGTGCTGATCATTACTGACAAGAGGGAAACAGTGCAATTTTTTTTTTTTATTTTACTTTAAGTTCTGGGATACATGCACAGAACGTGCAGGTTTGCTACATAGGTAAACATGTGCCATGGTGGTTTGCTGCACCTATAAACCTGTCACCTAGGTATTAAGCACCACATGCATTAGGTATTTGTACTGATGCTCTCCCTCCCCTTGGCCCACTTCCCCTGACAGGCCCTGGTATGTGATGTTCCCGTCCCTGTGTCCGTATGTTCTCATTGTTCAGCTCCCCGCTATGAGTGAGACTATGCAACATTTGGTTTTCTGTTCTTGTGTTAGTTTGCTGAGGATGATTTCTAGCTTCATCTATGTCCCTGCAAAGGACATGATCTCATTCCTTTTTATGGCTGTATAGTATTCCTTGGTGGATATGTAAAAGTTAGTGGGATTTTATGAAAGGTTATTATTTTAAATTGACTGGAATTTGAGATTGTTACATGTAATCTCTGAATACTGCACGTACACTATAGGTCAGTGCTATTAAAATATGAACTTAAATACTGCCCCTTAAGTGAGGAAAGTGAATGCAAACTTGATGGCAAATAAAGAAGTTTGAAACAACAAAGATAAGTCCACTCACCCAAGTATCCAATCAGAGCGGCCCCAATTGTCCGTGCAGATCCATTAAGATGTCCTGCTGAATTGTGTATCAACTTCACAGGAGTGGCATTCTCATGTGAGGAAATGCCTAACTGAAAAATAGGAAAGGAAAAGAATGTAATTATATAAGAACAGTTTCAATGTTTTGATTGGAAAAGAAACCAAACACATGAATGGTAACATATCTTTTCTCTCCTCCCTTATCAGAATACTGAAAAACGAGCATTTAGGTCCAGCCTGGTGGCTCATGCCTATAATCCTAACACTTTGTAAGATAGAGGCAAGGGAATCGCTTGAGCCCGGAGTTTGAGACCAGCCTGGGAAACATGGCGAGACCCCCATCTCTACTAAAATGCAAAAAATTAGCCAGGTCTTGTGGTGCATTACTCAGGAGGCAGAGGTGGGAGAAACACCTGAGCCTAGGAGGTCGAGAATGCAGTCAACGGAGATTGTGCCACTGGCACTCCACACTCCAGCCTGGGAGCATTTATTTTTGGAAATGTACAAACACTTCCAAAGTGTGGAAACTCACAGGAGGTAAGTTAAACACAATTTACTGAGATAAAGATGGTGAGAGGATCTTGAGACACAGCTTCAGGGGTCTTTGTGAATGAAGTTCTTTGGTAGTTTAAAGGTTGTTATCACTAACTGCCTCACAGTATTTCAGATCAGTGAACATATTAGCTTTATTCCATATCCAAGTAAACATAAGTTATCCAAGAGTTTATAGATAAAACATGCCTACATAAAGGAATCTTACATTTTGTACATTCACACATACACAAGATCTATTTTCAAGGCAAATATAACTTTAATTCTGTTGTTCACTATAGAGTTATGTGAAGTTTATGTTCCTTAGATATGTATATGTGTCATACATACACACACACACACACACACACACACACACACACACAAAAGCTCTGCGTAAGAGTTGTCAATACTTACAGTTCCTGGTCTCTTGATATCCTTCCCCTTGGACTTTGCCTCTGATAATCAGCCAAAATGGCTTGTCAAGCTCACTGATGAGTTCACCTTGCTAAACCCCATAGTCAGTCCTCACTTCTTATCTTACTGTGACCACTTAAGTCATTTCCACAGTGAATCCTTGATCTTACAACATTAAGCCCTCCTGGTTTTTCTCCCTTCTCACTGACTGCTACTTCTCAGTCTTTTCTGGTTCTTCTTGATCTCCCCAACTCCATAACACTGGAACGTCCCAGGTTTCAGTCTTTAAAACTTTCCATTTCCCTATCTACATCTATGCTTTGGTGAATACATGTAGACTCATGGCTTTAAACACCACCTGTATAAATGAACTCCAGATTCGTATTTCCAATGGCCTTGAAATCTCTACTGTGATGTCTAATACACTTCTCAAACTTCTAAAACAGAATTCTCAATATTCCTCCCAACTCTACTCTTTTTGTAGTTTTCTCCAAATCAGAAAATGTGACTCCATTTTCCTAGCTGTTCAAGAAAAAAACCTGGAGTCCTTAACTCTCTCACCTTCCACACTCATTCCACATTCTATCACACAAAACTGCTAGGTCAACTTTTAAAATATACCTTGAGCCGGGTGGGATGGCTCACACCTGTAATCCCAGCACTTTGGGAGGCTGAGGCAGGTGGATCACCTGAGGTTAGGAGTTTGAGACCAGCCTGGCCAACATGGTGAAACCCTGTCTCTAATAAAAATACAAAAATCAGTTGGGCATGGTGGTGCATGCCTATAATCCCAGCTACTCAGGAGGCTGAGGCAGGAGAATCACTTGAACCCAGGAGACAGAGGTTGCAGTGAGCCGAGATCACACCATTGCACTCTAGCCTAGGCGACAAGAGGCAAACTCCATCTCAAAAAAAAAAAGTGTATATGTATATATATATATATATATATATATATATATATACACACACACACACACACACACACACACATACACACCTTGAATCTGATCACTTCTTATCACTACCACTGCTACTGCCCAAATTAAAACCACCATAATCTCTCATAGGAATTATTTATCGCATTGGCCTCATAACTTGTCTCTCTGCTACTACCTTTGTTTCTCTTCAACCTATTGTCAATAGAAGTCATAGTGATAAAATGTAAGTTACAGCATTTCCCTCCTATGTCTGAAACTCCATAATGCCTCCCATCTTTCTCCATCAGAGCCAATGTCTTTACAATTGCCCCATGAATCCTAAACAACCTAAGACCCATCGTCACTCTGGGCTCCTCTCCTACTGCCCGGGCCCTCTCTAATTTTACTGCATCCACATCTGTCTCCATGGCAGGTACGTACAGTACACTTCTCAGGGCCTTTGCACTTGTATTCCTGGAATACAAAACACTCCCACACCCATAGGTATATCCCATGCTCCCTATTCCTGTGGCCTGTTACCTCATCCCTGTCAAGTCTTTGCTCAAAATTAACCTTCTCAGTAACGTCTCCTTGGACCACCATATTAAAAACTTGAAGCTTCTCTCTTTCCCCTTCCCTGCTTTATTTTACTGCATAGCACCATCACCTTCTAACATACTTCATGATTAGGTTATTTCTTTAGGTATTATCATCTGTCTTTTCCACTAGAATGTAGGAAATATAAAAGCAGAAATTTTCTTTTTATCCACTGCTATGTCCTGAACTGAATGTCACCTGGCACATAATAGGTCATTCGTTAAAAAGTTGAGTTGTAGCCTTAAAAACAGTAATTGTTTTCATTAGTTTTCTAAAGTTAAATTTCTTAATTGCCAATATAAATAAATTAATATGAATTATGTACTCATAACAGAAACTGTCACTTTTCCAAATTAAGTTACATATCTACATGTGTTTTGGCCTACATTTGAAGTCAAATTAACCAAACATAAACAATACATGAAAGGCATGATTTTTAGCAGTCACTCATAATTGAGTAGTATCCATATGAGACTCTGAGACATGTTCCCAGTGAGAATCAGCCATAGTACACCAAGAAATCATTCTGCTTACCTGCTTAGCAATGGCTTTGCTATCCAATTTGTTATACACTTTCCGGATTCTTGCCACTGTTAGAGACGACACAGAGAGTGCATAGAGGCCAAATGACACTTTCTCCTCTGGTACTAATGACACAGGGGATGGCACCACCCCTTCGGATTTTGCATCTTTACCTTCAAAAGAAGAATAATTCTTTTCAAAATCATCAGTAGTTCTCATCTTAAAGTAAGTTTTTTATTCTTACTATCATTTTTAAATGAGGAGGCTTGAAAGTCTTAAAGTAGAATAAGAGAGGTAAATTTAAAAACTATCTTCTCAGCTCTTCATTTATTTCTTTAATTAAAAGATGGAAAAAGAAATCTAGTCATAGAGTTCTACATTCTAAGTGCCACTCTTAAAACATGTTTAACATATAGCACAACGTAAAGGATGAAAAGTTTTAACTGTTATCTGACAAACTGTAAAACATGTCCCCCTAGATTCAAAGGAAAAAGGAATGAAGATGAATAAAATGCTGATCAGCCATGTAGCACTATGTCCCCTCCCCTAAAAAAGCACTCAGATATGCCTGCCTGTATTCTTTGAGACCACAAAGCAGAGGAGTTATTAATAAAGGCATGTGTTTTAAAGCTACATGGCCTGAGTTTGAATCTTGCTTTATCACTTAAAAGCTGTGCGACCTATATGTCTTTGTGCCTCAGTTTCCTCTTCTGTGAAATGGGAATGATAATGACAGTACCTAACTCACAGTGTTTTGAGATGAATAAATACATGTGAAGGGCTCAGAACAGCTACATCCTTCATGTGTATTGACTTATTTAGCACACAGTAAGTGCCCAAGAAGTGTTAGCTTTTATTAGATACCATCTAAATTAAGAATGAGTGAAAAGATAAATTACTAAATCTTAGGATTATGACCATTTACAATATACTTGTCCTAACTCTTCTGAGATTCTTGGTGGAATCAGAACAAGGGAGTGGAAGACCATCATTTGCAAGGAGTACTACCAAGGAACTGCCAGCTTAACATCAGTTCCTCTGAGTCTAAATTTCATTTGGGAGAAAGGATAACAAAAAGTAGGCTTGGAGTAAAGAAATGAGGAAAAATAATGTTAAGTGATCTCATCTAGAGAATATGTGTGTGTGTTTATTGAACCTATCTGTTCTTCCTTTAACAGGGGTGGCTATACTTTAAACTGCTTCATGTAATAGGAGAAATCACAGAAAGAGAAGAGTGTCACAGTTAGACTCCTAGAGGGCATATACCTATATCTCAGAGCCAGTAAGAGAAACTGGATAATAAGCGATCAGACATAAAGACAAAGAATCCAGAAAGTGCAGTATAATCAGTGGAGGAAAATATTTTCAATAGGAGTGAGTATCCTGCTGAAGAAGATTAGAGGAGAAGGCGCTTTTCCTAGATTAACAATATGTATAACCTCAGACACACACATGCATCTATATTGCAGGAGTTAAGTTTCATACAACTTCAAGAACTAAAAATAAGTTACTCACATGGCATACATACAGCCTGAAAGCTTCCAACATAATTTGGTCCAAGTTCATAAATGGTAGTAACATTTGAAGAAGGTAAAACTTCTTCTAGAAAATGTGTGGGTCCCAGGCGCCAAACCAATGAGGCAATTTGGCGTTGGGCAGGTGGAGTACCAATGTAGGCATAGACCGTGCTCACCACTGGTGGATTTGCCGAACCTGAACCCCCTGGAGTACTGTGGACATAATGAAGCTGTAAGGAAGACAAAAGCAAATGTGTGAGATGTGAACACTTTCCCCAGGAAAATAACTACTTCAGCATATGTATTTTCATTATCCCAAGGTCACACAACTTTACAAATGCACAAAAACATTTGGGGTGGAGAAACAGGAAGGGCAAGGCACGATACTGGGATCTGTAACTGAGGACCAGGTATAGTAGCTAAAACTTTTATCCAACTCTCTAACACAGATAAACTCTTTAATGCTAGAAATGGCAACAGGCAAATACAGGGATACTGTCAATGGCTGGTTTGCACATCAAGTTAATGACGCTTCTCTGAAATTTTTGTGCTGATATAAAGAGAGCTTTCCACTATGGAATTAAAGTAGTCTTGAAATTAGGTATGTTACCTTCAATGTGAGTCTGTTAACTAAAATTACTGATGAAAAGCGTTTTATAGGGGTAAATTATTATAATAAATATATAATTAAGTACAGTATAAGAGATAAAGAACTTAAGTTGCTTTTTCTTGCTGAAGCAGCTTAATGGGATGAAGGACACTTCCATTAACTGCTGTGTCATAATAACATCTCAGCTTCAGATCCTATTCATTATTCTATATATTAAACAGCAGTTCTTGGTGATGTTAATAGCACAATTGTGAAGACCAACATAAGAGCTAGAGTTGATTTCACAGTACTGTGACTATTGACAGGGACAGTGATGATGATGTAAATAAATCAATAATAAATTTCCTATTGCTCAACTCTAGAAGCTGAGGGCATTTTTATTTTTAATGACACTAAAATTAATGAAGGAGCAACGTACTAGAGAATCTACAAACCCATTTCAAATGCAATCATGTATACAAACAAATCAATGACTATTCCACAAGGTGCATTTTAGGGTTTATCATATTGAAACACAATGTCACAATAAAATATCATCATCATCAAGGAAGGAAATATATTCAAAGATACTGCTGGTTTCAGTGCTTTTCAAACTTTAATTCACACACAAGGACAAACTTTGTCTTTGTTACTTCTTTCAAGTGATCGCCCTAAAATGGATAACTGGCTATATCCCAGCATTTTGGGAGGCCGAGGCATGAGGATCACCTGAGGTCAGGAGTTTGAGACCAGCCTGGCCAACATGGTGAAACCCCATCTCTACTAAAAATACAAAAATTAGCCACGTGTGGTGGCACATGCCTGTAGTCCCAGCTATTTGGGAGGCTGAGGCAGGAGAATTGCTCATACCCAGGAGGTGGAGGTTGCGGTGAGCTGAGATCGTGCCACTGCACTCCAGCCTGGGCGACAGAGCAAGACACCATCTTAAAAAAGGAAAAACAATAAAAATAAAATAAAATAAAATAAAATGAATACTATCTTTTAGAAGGTCAAGAATTTTCAGAGCTTGCGAACTGAGTTCTGTACAAAGTAACAAGCAGGATTTATTCTCATTCAGAAAAAGGGAGTTTCACTTGTTTCTTTACTTGATAATCAACTCTTTTTTTCTATTCTAAATACTATCACAATCTACAGTAATGTTTATGTAGTCATTCATTCAAGAAACAATAAACTAAATACCTACTATCATTATCAGGGACTAATCTGGGTGATATGAAAACAAAGAAAAAAAAACAATTCTAGCTCTAAAGAATGTAAGTCTTCTGGACTAAATTACAACAACAATAATGAAGTGGCAAAATAGTGTGTTCACCGTTATTTATGAATCCTTCAACTGGTTCCTCTATTATGAAAAAGCACCTAGCAATCTGGCTTAAGCTCTTGCATATTCAGCAACTTCTTTAGTACCTATAAGCCCTCATTTCTATTCTTCTCTAATAAAATGGTTTAAGAATTGGCCACATGAGTCTAACATATTATTCAAATGGGTACTGAATATCAACTTAAAATTAAGAAAGTAATTTTAAAAATATCCCTGTAACACACACACACACACACACACACACACACACACACACCCCCCAAACTACTACCTTATAAAACAGGTAGATTTACAAGTGCACATACACTTACCTTTACAGTGTTAACAAGCTGTCCATCAATATAAAGGGCTGCAGTACTGTTTTTCAACATGCCTTTGCTCATTACCAGGACCAAATGATGCCACTGTCCCTCAATGATAAGCTCTCCACATCGAAAGCGAGCACAGCATGGGAGAATTTCATAAAATGAGGACTCTTCACTAAAATCATCAACTGAAATAAAGGGGGGAAGACATAAAAACTTTTTCCAACACCATCCCTATTCAAATTATTCATATCTAGATCAGCATGTTTTGACTTTATGTTAAAACAAAATAATGATGCAGACTGATTTGAGTAATAATACAACTCTGGAAAAAAAAATGATAATGCGGGTTGGGCACGGTGGCTCACACCTGTAATGTCAGCCCTTTGGGAGGCTGAGGCGGGCGGATCACCTGACGTCAGGAGTTCGAGACCAGCCTGGCCAACATGGTGAAACCCCATCTCTACTAAAAACACAAAAATTAGCCAGGTATGGTGGCGCGCGTCTGTAGTTCCAGCTACTCGGGAGGCTGAGCCAGCAGAAATGCTTGAACCTGGGAGGCAAGAGTTTGCAGTGCTGAGATTGTACCACTGTACTCCAGCCTGGGTGACAGAGCGAGACTCCATCTCAAAAAAAATAAGTAAATAAAAATAAAAAGATAATGCAGACAGAAGATACCTTATTCATGCAATACCCTTACCTGCAGTAAAGTGAAACCTAGAATGTATTTTTGCTCTCTTCTGCTCAAGAAATATAGGTATAATCACATAAAGTTACAATGAACAAAAGTTAGCTAATGAAGTAAAAAATACATAAAAATAAAGAGACAATAACGTTATGATAAACACTAAAAAGAGACTAGTTGACACCCAAAACAAAAATAAACAAGTGGGACTATCTCAAACTGAAAAGCTTTTGAATAGCAAAGGAAACAACAGAGTGAAAAGGGAATCTATGGAATGGGAGAAAAATATTTGCTAACTATGTATTTCATAAGGCAGTAATGTCAAAAATACATAAGAAACTACTAGAACTCAATAGTAAAGAAACTAATAATCAATTAAAAATGAGCTAAGAACTTGAATAGACATTTCTCCAAAGAAGGCACATAAATGGCAGACAGGTATATGAAAAATGCTCAATGTTACTAATCATCAGGGAAATGCAAACCATAAGCACAATGGCATATCACCTCACACCTGTCAGAATGGCTATTATCAAAAAAAAAAAGTGTTGACACAAGTGTTGGCAAGAATGTGGAGAAACTGGAACCCTTGCGCACTGTTGGTGGGAATGTAAAATGCTGCAGCTGCTATGGAAAACAGTACAGACGTTTCTCAAAACACTGAAAATAGAACTAACATATAATCCAGCAATACCATATCTGGGCACTTATCTAAAATCACTGAAATCAGGACTTCAAAGAGGTATCAGTACTCCCCTGGACAGATGAGTAGATAAAGAAAATGTGGTACATATATACAATGGAATAATATTTAGCCTTAAAGAAGAAAATTTTGCAATATCTGACAACATAGATGAAGCTTAAGGACATTATGCTAAATGAAATAGCCAGTCATAGAAAGACATATACTGCGTGACTCCACTTATATGAGGTATTTAAAATAGCCAAATTCAGAGAAACAACGAATGAAATGTTGGTCGCCAAGGGCTTGAGGGAGGGGCAAATGGGGAGTTACTAATCAAATGGCAGGAAGTTTCAGTGAGGCAAGAGGAAAAAAAGCTTGAGATTTGCTCTACAACACTGCAACTATAGTCAACAATAATGTTGTTGTATGACAATAATGTTGTATAACAACAATAATGTGTTGTTAACTTTTTGACATTGATTTGGTTACAGTATGGGTTAGAAAAAGAACCGAGAAAAATGTAAAGTTTATTCTTGCTATATGCTATGCTCAACGACACAAGAGGACAACTATCTATTATTAGTGGCTGTACTGTCCATAATAAAAGGCAGTAAGAAGGAGATGATTTACAGCACAGACTAGTGATTTGTTGATCCAAGTTTCCTGCTTCATCAGACAACTTTGTCCCACGTATATAAATATATTCTGATTTGCTACCATTCTACAATTACTTCCTGACTCCAATCTGGCTCCTTTTTGCTACCCTATATGTTACCAGACCATGCTAAGAAATAATGGTTTCATATTAATTTAATTTTATTGTTAAGCTGAACAAAAATTAATTTACCTTTTATCAGTACTTAACAAATGGCAAGACAGCGGTGGAAAACCAGATTTTAAATACTCATTTTAAAAAAAATTAAGAAGAGCTAACCTGTAACCATATAATTTAAAGCAGATCCAGTATTTTTCACTGCATGTACAAACAAGTAAATATACTGAAAGTAAAATTTATGTGATATGAAGAAGAAAATGCAAATAAAATATTTATTTCTATTTTTAGAATCTTAAAATATCTGCACATACTTAAATACCAAGATTATATTTTAGAATGGCAATTCAGAATATATGTCTGTTGATAAGACTATTACACAGGTAAAAATCTTATCCATGAGGTGACTTGATATAGGAACTGAATAAACTAGGCAGAAAGCAGGGTCCTAAAGCCTTGAAAGGTCTAGTGTTATGGACCAATGGAGGTGAAAGTAAATATGAACATATGGGTGAAACAAGGAACTTGTCCCTCTTCCTTCCCTGGTTCGTAGACTGTAAGTCTTCTCAAGTATTGAAGAAGATATTCCTTACAAACATTTGTGAGAGTTTCACTTTCTGACTTAGGTTTGAACTAAGACATTTCCAGCACTGAGTGGTGTGTCAGGATATCTCAGTGAGCCAACTGGTTTATGACAACTCCTAATCTCCTAGGCATCTTAATGGGTTACAGCTGTTCGGAGAATGAATCCTGGCAATACTAATGCATATGTTACCGTCATTTCTAATCATATATGGACTATAGCAGCCTGGCAAATTACATTTAGTAATAAAAATGAGATAAGAGTTAGAAAATATTTTCCTAGTTTACAGATTTATCTCCAGATCCACTCCTTAACTTTCCCATTAAATTCTAGGGTGTCTTCAAATTCCCCATTATTATTCACTTTTCTCGTTGTTTCTTCCTCAGACCATTCATTTCCTCTATTCATGCATTTATAAGTTTACATAATATCTGCATGCCTAATACATTCTAGGTACTGTGTTAGATGACAGGGCAGCTTAGATTACAAAGATAAGCAGACAAAACAAATTAAAAATTAAAATCTATGAAGTCTAGATAAGAGATGAAGATTATTAAACAAGTGCTATGGAAGTGGGCACAGGGAGGAAGGGAAGATTTGAGAAATATTAGGGAGGCATATTACAGTAAGACTTAGTAGAAAGGGTGGTATTTTCAAGTTGACTCAGGTTTCTAGTTGGGCTAACTGGCAGTGGTTGTGTCATTTATCAACACAGGAAAACAGAAAGAGATGTAGGTTTTTTGTTTTTGTTTGAAACTGGGTGTCTCTCCTAGGCTGGAGTGCCATGGCACCTTCACAGCTCACTGTAACCTCAAACTCATGGGCTTCACCAATCCTACACCACCTCAGCCTCCTAAAGGAGATGTAGGTTTTATAAAGAAGAAATATTAGAATCTGAGATGTTTATTGGAATACTGTTCATATGGAGATGTCTAATATGCAGCTGGAAATATGAGGACATAGCTTGGGACATAGACAAATGAAAAAAAAACTTTGACTTCACAGTCCTTGAGATAAAAAGACTTAAAGCAATACTAGTTCATTATTTTTTCCCATGAAGAGCTGGTCAAGTACAAAGATCAAAGGTGAAACACTGGAGAATACTACTTCTGAGGGGCAGATAGAAGAGAAAGCGATTGAAGGAAATTGCAAAACAAAGATCAGAGAAATAGTGAGTATTCTCAAATGCAAGACTGGAGGTAGTTTTAATTAGGACGAATTAGTCAACAGGACTACATGCTACTAAAGGGGCAAATAAAGCGTCATAACAAGAATTTTAAAGTACTAACTATATTGATGCCTAGCTCTGTGCTAGGTACCATGAGGAATACTACAACCTTACAATCTAATTAAAAGACTAACATTCATATTATATTAATATTTATTGAACACCAACCACATGTCAATTAATATGTGATATTATTTTACTTAGCTAAAAGAACAAAATTAGATGACCAAAAAAATCACATTTATACAAAATGCTTATATTCTTGAGCAAAGAAAATTAAGTAAATTGAGATTTATATTTTAAATTATTTATCATTTAGCAGGATCTTCATGAATGCCTTGAGTTTGGAGTTCTACTGTACAGCACTGTAAAGTCATGGCATGTTGGAGAAAACTAAGGAATTAGAATTATAAAATAGTATGTATTACATCTTGAAGGTAAGTGATGGATAAGGTAATTGAAATGTTATTGTGGCTAGCACAGTGTGGCACATATGGCAGGCAGGTGCTCAATGAATATTAATTAATTAAGCAGAATTCACAGCCAATGATAATCCTTACCAAAATACATCAAACAAGCAACCTGCTTTCCTAGGAAAAGCTGTGATTTCTTGGCAAGTAGAGATTAGTCCTTATTAGGTACTCACTCCCTCCACTGTTTTGTAAGTCTCTTTTGAAAGTGCCTTAAAATTCACTGGTAAGCAATATTCAATGTTTTATGTAACTTGTTCTATGCTATAATAATTTAAGCTGAAAAGTTATTATTAGCTGGACTTTTAAAATAAATACAAAAATGAAGTTTTAATACTTCTATAATCAAAAGAAGAAAACAAAAAAAAATACTGACCATAATTTTGGAGGAGTTCCTCTTTGGTGGAAACAATCAGAGATCGGTCTTTTGCTGATAGAACTATTGCAAGGCACACGTAATGTTGCTCAGAAGAATTTGCTCGGCGCACAACAGTAAGAAGTCTGACAGGGTGGTTATTTGGAGGAGAACTAAAATGTTCAATACAAAACCAGCTAGAGTAACTTAAGCCGGAGGGAGGAGGGAAGAATCTTTCACCTACAGTAAAAATTAAAAAAAAAAGTCTGTGTTGATTAATATTTATATTTTTTAAAAGATGCCAACAAAAGCAAATAAACTCTAAATTATATATAATCTACTAGAAAAAAAACTCATAAGCAGAAAGCAAATATTACTTACCAGAACCAATGCCACTGACCACAGCCCCATCAATAAGACCTGTTGTGACGGTATTATTTGTAGGAGCATTATGAGGGGCCAAACTGGGCAAAAAAAGACATCTATTAAAGAAAAGACAACATACATATTAGAGATCAATGACTCCTTCTCTTAACACTGTGCACTTACCACAGTGAAATAACTGCCAGTATTTAATGGTGACTAGAGAAAAGATCATGGAATAAATCTGGATGCCTCGCAAAGCCCTTCCCTTCTTTTAATTATGTAAGGGTATCAAAAGACATAATTTTAAAATCTCCCAAAATAACATTTTTAACTTAAAATAAAAAAAAATGAAGATACAAAATGCATATGGCAACATACTCTAACGTATAAACCCAATCAAGACATTAGAACAATTTCATCACTGAAGGAAAACTCCCATGTGCCCCTTACTGTCACTCTCTTGTTACCACTGATTGCTTTTGACTATTCCCAATCATGTTTTAATCTATTGTTTGATAATGACCCATGATAATATTCTTAAAACACAGAGGTTTCAATCAATATAAGAATCCCACAAACAACTAGTATAGATAAAAATTATGAATTAACACTCTAAGCCTGGGCACAGTGGCTCACGCCTATAATCCTAGCACGTTGGGAGGCTAAGGTGGGCAGATCACTTGAGGTCGGGAGTTCGAGACCAGCCTGGCCACTATGGCGAAACCCCATCTCCACTAAAAATACAAAAATCAGCCAGGCGCGGTGGCGTGCGCCCATAATCCCAGCTACTTGGGAGGCTGAGGCAGGAGAAATGCTTGAACCTGAGAGGCGGAGGTTGCAGTGAGCCAAGATCGCGCCATTGCACTCCAGCCTGGGTGACAGGGCAAGACTCTGACTCAAAAGGAAAAAAAAAAAACAAAACTCTAATAGCTAACAGATCTAGCTACCAGATCTATTAGCATTTGTGTCTATTTTAGGCTGTTGAACTTCATGAATTCTTATAGATTTTTTAGATTCATTATTGCCATTTCTGTTACTATAATCTTTTCTGCCACTTGAAATAATTTATTCATTTGAAGTGACAGTCATTGAATATTTATAATGTATAAATTATTATACTAGGTAATTTGAAGGATAGATGATGATAAAACCCAAAGAGTTTTCAATCTAATTTTAATTTATATATTATCTATACATTTATATTTATTACATTAGATGTTGGCAGACTTTTTCTGGAAAGGGCCAAATCATAAATATTTAATGCTTTGTGAACCAGGCAGTCTCCATCATGACTACTCAACTCTGACACTCTAGCACAAAAGCAGCCATAGGAAATATAAATGAGTGTGGCTGTTTTCCAATAAAACTTCATTTACAAAAAAAAAAAAAATTTGCAAAAGTGTTACTAACAAAACAGATTTGGTCCATGGGCCTAAGATTTTGGATTCCTATGTCATATCAATTTATTTTGTATAACAAACAAAAATAATTAAATGTAGTAATCTTAAAATAGCATGCTCAAAAAACTCAATAATTAAAAAATATTAAGTATGGTAAAATATATTTTAATTAAGTATATTTAAAACCAAAGATCTATTTGTAAAGGCAAGTATGACGCATAAAACCATAAAGGTTGGCTTCCTTGCAAATTTCTTACCCAAACCCTTCAAGTGATGTGTCAAATTCAACAAAAGCTGGAGTAACTGATGACCCATGAAGTCTGATGTCATGTGGGGTTGTCATGGAGACCAGACACTTCACCCTGGTCAGGGGTACAGTACTTCCTTCCGCAGATTTTACCAGGCTCTTGCTTATCCGGTAATGGTTATCTTCATGTAAGCTAAAAACATTATCAGTACCCAGACCTTCCAGAGATGTGATCATACTACCTGTAAGTCAAGGAAATCTCTTGGGAAAATGTCATATGGAATTTCAAAATAACTTTACAAGGCTGATTTATTTGTAAATACCACTTCAGTTTCAATAGACAATAATTTTTTTTTAAGTGCCAAGATCATTATCCAGTTTTAATGTACATTTACTTTTAAACTTAATAGCATGCGTTTCCTTTTTTACTAAAGCAATATGCACACTGCAGAAATGTTGGAAACTAGAGTATAAATAAAAATAAACATCTCAAATAATTGTCATCAAAGCCACTGATACAATGTAATTTAATTATAAATCTCAGTTAATAGTTTACAAATCAGGAAATACTTTTATTTCATAAAACTATGATTTATTAATTCTCTTTGAGGGAAAAGTAAACAATTTTAGACCATTAAAATGAAAAGAAATAGGTCATCTTTATTATAAAACAAATTAGAGATAAATGGCAGAAACTTGCTTCTCCCATTTTTTCCCCATTATTAATTCTTTCCTTACAATTATTAGAACTAAATGCATGATCGTAAAAGTACTTTAATTTAAAGATTCCCATATTTATAAAAAGGGTAACAATTTCAAGAATAAAAAGACAAATTCTAAACAGATTGTCATTATCTCTCCAGGGACACATTACAAATGTAATGAAGAAAATATTCTCTCTCGAAATAAACTACATGAGTATAGGAAACTGTTTTCCTCCTAAATGTGCTGGATATTCAGGCAACTACAAAGATATTTCAAATATTCTCTTAGGGAAAGGAACTATTTTTGTTTCTACTCTTAGCAAAGGAAATCACAACTCAATTCTTATTTATTTATTTATTTATTTATTTATTTATTTATTTTTTGAGACGGAGTCTTGCTCTGTCGCCCAGGCTGGAGTGCAGTGGCGCGATCTCGGCTCACTGCAAGCTCTGCCTCCCGGGTTCACGCCATTCTCCTGCCTCAGCCTCCCGAGTAGCTGGGACTACAGGCGCCTGCCACTGCGCCCGGCTAATTTTTTTTGTATTTTTTAGAAGAGACGGGGTTTCACCATGGTCTCGAACTCCCGACCTCGTGATCCGCCCGTCTCGGCCTCCCAAAGTGCTGGGATTACAGGCGTGAGCCACCGCGCCGGGCCTGTTTCCCTATTTAAATAATAAACCCTTCTCTTTCTTTGCTTTCACAAACTTCTTGAAATAATATTCATCCCCTACATGATTTTCATTCATAAAATAAATCAAAAAAGGGAATTTCAAAACTTACTTCTCATTTCTGGTTCATAACTCAGTGAACTTGGTTTGTGGACCCTATATTGTTTTAGCAGTTTTTTGTCCCAGGCACCACAATTTAAAGGACTTGCCAAACGTAAAAACTCCCTAAGAAAGAGACAAAGCAAAGTTATTCCTTGATTGAGATTATTATATAATTCATTAACCAAATATTCAGAAAAAGAATTTAATAAATTCCAACAGACTAATTACAATAAAAAAATGCAAAGTATAATAAAACAATATAGTGTTAGTTTTACATTTAATCACCATATAGCTATATATCTGACACATATTTTTTAGAATGTTTTTTAGACAGTTATTCCTTCGTTGAGAATATTATAATTCATAAACCAAACATTTTCAAAAAAGGAATTTAATAAATTCCAACAGACTAATTACAATACAAAAAATGCAAGTATAGTAAAACATACACAGTGTTAGTTTTACATCTAATCACCATATAGCTATATATCTGCTATACATTTTTATAAATTCATTTTTTAGAAGTTAATAATATTTAAGAAGAACCCCAACTCAAATATTTCTAAAACCAAACTCATCACCTTATATCCAAACCCAGGGCATTTCTTATGTTCTGCATCTCACTGAAATGTGTTTTTGTTCCTTCTTTAACTTTCCATATTCAGAAAATCAGAAAATCCTGCTATTTCTACTCATAAAAATATGGAATCTGCTCTTTTCTCTCATTCTTGCTGCTATCACCCAGACCATATTATTTTACTATTCCTAAAACAGAGTCTTAATTACCTCCTGTGACACCAATATTGCCCCAACTCAATCCATTCCTCACTATAGTCAGTATCTCACAGAACTTAAATCTACACAGTGTCACTCTATTGCTTAAGACTCTTCCATGGCTGTCCATTTCTGTAGTTGAAAACACAAAACAGCTAGCATTCAGTACCATACATGAGATGATTTCTACTGTACTCTCCAGCTTCACTGCTCCCATCTTTCCCGCAATCATAAATTCTACTTAAGACATACATAAAACTTCTGACTGCCTAAGAATGCTGTACTCCTTCTCTACCCTGGACCACCATATTTGTTTTTCTTGTTGGGGAAAAAAATCTTGCCCTTACTTTTTCACCTGATTAACTCTCTTCCATACTTTAGAGTTTTTTATTTATCATCATTTTTTTGTGTGTGTGAGACAGCCTCTTGCTCTGTCACTCAGACTGGAGTGCAGTGGTGTGATCATAGCTCACTGCAATCTCAAACTCTTGGGCCCAAGAGATCCTTCGGCCTCAGTCTCCCAAATAACAAGGACTACAGGCACACGCCACCATGCTAGTTAATACATATATATATATATTTTTTTTTTTTTTGTAGAAACAGGGTCTCACTATGTTATTCAGGCTTATTTCAAACTGCTGACCTCAAGTAATCCTCCTGCGTTGGCCTCCCAAAGTGTTGGGATTACAGGCATGAGCCACACTGCCTGGCCTCATACTTTATTTCATTAACTGTCATTTCCTCCAGGAAGCCTGCTTTGAGTCACACTTCCAAAAGTCTCTGCCCCTATATAAACTCTGTAACACTGCTATTACGAACTTAATAAACAATATTTTCATTTCCTGCTTATCTGCATGTATTCTTTACTAGACGATACATTTTTTAAGAGCATAAACCCTCCATAACCTGTCATTTATAACATCATGTTAAAAAAAAAAGTAGAATACTCCAAATTTTCAACTCCCTACAGCAGGAAACAAAAAAGGCTTACAAGTTAGGTTTGCCAGTTTTTCATGTAGAACGTTAGACACAATTAGTTTATAATCTATGGCTTTTAAGTAGCAAAGTACTTGTACCATCATTTGACTTCTTTTTTCTGAGAACTCACTAATTGTGAAAACTGACCATACCCAATGGTTGATTTTCATTGCTTATTCTATTTATCTAACTATGCAATGTAAGTTATCTGGTAAAATAGTAGCATTAGGTATGGGACAATGTCTCTCTCTCTCTCTGTGTGTTTCTCTACTTTTAAAGTAGCAGATTACCAAAAAGGATCAGGGGAAAATCTCAATGCTATTTTCAAAACTTTAGGACGGTGAGTACAACTACAAGATAATGGATGAAGTGAGTAGGTCCATCTCACTCATCTTGGCATTATAAAGGCCGTGAACACAGCCTGATACAACACCATTTAACAAATGTTTACTGCATAAAAGTTTCTTAATCCACAATCAGTTTGGAGTCAGTTTTAAAAACTTACAAATAAATTTCAACCATTTTTAAGAAAGCTCCTAAAAGTTTTATAAAAGAGGAGTACTCTAATAATAAGTTATGTAACAGCAGTGTTATAGAGTTTATATAGGGGCAGCCTACCCAGACTTTTGGAAGGGTGGCTCAAAGCAGGAGGCTTCCTGGAGGAAATGACAGATATATATGAATCATTCAAGAAATACACATATGTAAGTATATATTTCTTGAATGATTCACAAACTCTGATACATCCATACTGTGGAACATTATTCATAATAAAAAGAAAAAACTACTGATACATGTAACAACTTGTGTGCAGCTCAAGAGCAATATGATTAGTGAAGAGACAATCTGAAAAGATCACATACTGTATAACTTCATTTATGTAACATTCTCAAAATCAGTGGTACCCAACCTTTTTGGCATCAGGGAGCGGTTTTGTGGAAGACAATTTTTTCACAGATGGATTGTGGAGGATGGTTTCAGAATGAAACTGTTCCACCTCAGATCATCAGGTATTAGATTATTTAGATTCTCATAAGGAGTGCCCAACCTAGATCCCTTGCATGCACAGTTCACAATAGGGTTCACGCTCCTATGAGTATCTAATGCTACTGCTGATTTGACAGGAGGCAGAGCACAGGCGGAAATGCTGGCTCACCCACAGCTTACCTCCTGCTGTGCGGCCCAGTTCCTAACAGGACATGGACCAGTACTGGTCCATGGCTCGGGGGTTTGAGACCCCTGCTCATAACGACAAAACTATGGAGATGGAGAACAGATCAGTGATTTCCATGGGCTAAGGGCTAACGATGTTGGGGTTAGGGGAGTGGGTATGACAATAAAGGTAGCACTAGAGAAATCTTTGTGACATCGTAATTGTGTGGTGATTACATGAATCTACACATGATACAATAACAGATAATTGTATGTGCACATGAATACATCATACCAATATCAATTTCTTGGTTTGGATACTGTAGTATAGTTATGTAAGGTGTAACTACTGGAGGAAAATGGGCAAAGAGCACAGGAAAACTCTTGGATCTATATTCACAACTTATGGTGAATCTATTATTTCAAAATTAAAAGGTTAAAAAGTATTTCTTTAAAAACTTCTTACATATGAAAAGTTATTAAATATAAAGTAAACGCATGACTTCATTTTTAAAGGAAAGTGAGAGCTTGCTAGATTCAAATGAAAGAAATAACTGATGGACAGAAACACTAAATGATTACTAATAACTAGATTTATTTGTTTCTAAGTGCCATATTTTGAGTATTTTGTCCATTTTTGTTATATTTTGCCCATAGATAACTGAATATATGTCCATTAAGGCAGGAATTCTGGAATCATAAGGACTCTAGAAACTGACATTACTAATTGTGGACTATTTGAGTATGAAAGAGAACTTACCTCAACACCATGGGTTCCAGAGCCTGAGAGGCTAATCGTTCAAACATCCGCTGCAGGGGCGGGTGCAGTGAGTGGTCCTCATCAGCCAATGCAGCACTGCACCTCTGCAGCAGTCGTGCATGAAGACCAGCTTCACACATGACTTGCTGGTTCCTTTCTGTGTGCACCAGGGATTGTAAAATATTTGCCACGGCAAGTTGAAGATCCAAAGCATGCTAAAATCAACAAAGAAATCCACACAGTCAGGTCATTCTTAGTGAGAAAGATGACAATTCTTTTCACATGAAGCATACCTTTTTAATTTTTTTTTTTTTTGAGACGGAGTTTCGCTCTTGTTGTCCAGGCTGGAGTGCAATGGTGTGATCTCGCCTCATTGCAACCTCTGCCTTGCAGGTTCAAGTGATTCTCCTGCCACAGCCTCCCAAGTAACTGGGATAACAGGCGCCCACCACCACGCCCAGTTAACTTTTGTATTTTTAGTAGAGACAGGGTTTCACCATGTTGGCTAGGCTGGTCTCAAACTCCTGACCTCAGGTGATCCACCTGCCTCAGCCTCCCAAGTGTTAGGATTACAGGCGTGAGCCACCGCACCCGGCAGAAGCATACTTTTTTTTTTTTTTTGAGACAGAGTCTTGCTCTGTCACCCAGGTTGGAGTGCAATTGTGTGATCTCGGCTCTCGGCTCACTGCAACCTCCGCCTCCTGGGTTCAAGCAATTCTCCTGCCTCAGTCCGCCGAGTAGCTCGGACTACAGGTGCCTGCCACCATGCCAGGCTAATTTTTTGCATTTTTTGTATTTTTAGTAGAGGCAGAGTTTCACTGTGTTAGCCAGGATGGTCTTGATCTCCTGACCTCGTGATACACCCGCCTCAGCCTCCCAAAGTGCTGGGATTACAGGCGTGAGCCACCGCGCCTGGCCAGAAGCATACCTTTTAATATGAAGTCTCTATATGCTTCCAAATACATTCAGATAAGTAACTTGCTTAGAGCAATATAGCAATTCCAGAACAGGTTAGGCAAACATGTCCTATTTTAATTTGCTAGAAGTACAGGCAGCTGGACTCTATTCTCTTCCAAGCCTTTTGTATTACATGACTATATGACTAAAAGTAGTTCTATTTTTATAGAAATAGCAGGGATAAAATCTTCTTAATGGTGGGCAGATAACTAGTTTAAAGGCAAGCCTATTGTTTACATCTGTGACACTTTAGGCCTTAGAGGCTATATAACATTTTAATAAAAATCATCACCCAAACTCCAATTCGCTCAAACTCTTGAGTGCAACAAGTCAAAACAGACAAATAGCCTCAATGTAGTATCTTCAGTCATTTTTCCTTCTGTATTATTCGTTAGCAATGTCCACTGCTGAGCAGGATTTATAAGGAGAAACAGAATTATTCTAGCACCAGAAGAAGCCACCTTGGTTGTCTTTGTAATGAATGAATTAGATTCTAAAACATACATATCTACCATTTATCATGAAAGGTAACACTCAAATAAAAAAATCCTTTTTTTTCCCCTTCAGCTACTTTAGTATGTAATATTAACTTTCTTCCTCAACCCCCTAGCTCATATAATCATACTCACATCCTTTCATTCATTTCATTACAGACGGGAAGGAACTAACATATTCAAGCTTACTTCTGGCTGTGTCACTGACCCAACAGAGGCCAGTAGGTCCAGCATGGCAAGCATGGCTCCAGGATGAATGATGACTGCATCAGAACTCTGCAGAGATGAAGTTGTCACATGTAGTTTCAGGTCGGCAACATTTTTAGGAGGGTAAACAGGGGGAGTTGAAACAGAATGATATGCATGCCTATAAAAAAAGAAAGAGTAAATTTGGTATTGAATTCCAATCACATTCTCTTCCTCTTCAGTTACTTTCATCCACTGATAACCAAAAAGCCTTGTTAGAAAACACCTTAAGGTTGGGATAGAAAAAAAGGAATATATTATCAACTCGAGTTGATATGTGTGTGTGTCCGCATGTGTGTGGGTGGGTGTGTGCAGACCATGTAACTATCCATTATTCATAGCCTTTATATGATTTTTACTTTTACTGATTTACTATATGGATTGTTTGATTAAAAAATGACACCTGTACCACAAGATGTAAAGAACAAGTACAATCACAGTGATTCAAAGCTCTAGAAGATGACAGTTCCAATAATACGTGATGAGAGATCAA
Source organism: Homo sapiens (assembly GCF_000001405.40). NCBI lineage: Eukaryota > Metazoa > Chordata > Mammalia > Primates > Hominidae > Homo > Homo sapiens. Next base: position 84,803,840 of record NC_000004.12, read on the forward strand.
ATTAAATTAATTCCCTCAGTGAGATTTTATCTTTTGAAATTACCTATATGTGTTTTAACCTTTCCTTAGTGCATGAGTAACACAATCAACAACTAACTGGGTCAGCTGAGTCAGGGTTGTCTCAGAGTCTAAGCTATCCAAGAATAAATATATTTGGCATTGTGGGAGTTTTCCTTTAGCTTATTTGGAACTACTTTCATCTTCTGCATCTATCCTCATTATCACTGAAAATATTCATTGCAACTTTTAAAAACTTGAAAGCAATTTACAGAAAAAGTTTCTATGAATTAGAAAGCCCAGCCATGTCCTGAATGTACACATTTCTTCTCATCAATGATCTCTACTTTCTATTTCATACTACTCATCTACAATTCATGAATTTTGCACATTTTGCATCTTGGCACTAAGAAACAGATGCTTGTGGCTTCAGCCTATGGGAACTCTTTGTTCCAATGAGTTGGTCTCAGCATAATTTGCCTAATGCTGAGCTCTGTCACAGAGAGCAATGCAGTTTTAGCTCTCTGGGACAAGAGCAGCTTGGGAAACAGATGCTTTACGTCACTGATTTAGTAGCAAAGAATTGGCACTGCCGTGGTTTAAAAAAAATACCGTTCTCTTTTTAACAGGGATTCTAGGAAAATGTTCCGCTTTACTTATAAAAAGGCACACAGGCTCTCCTAGTTTATTTAAAAGGCAGCATGTCCTTTACCCATTCATGTTTTCACTCCCTGTATTCTGCCATTTTTCATTCAAAAAGATTTAATTTCTAAACTTACTAAGAAAAATATTCAAAATGTGTATTACCAACAGTTATCCTCCTCCTATATTGCTCCCTTTATTCTTTTAAATATTTTGATCCATCTAGAAAAAAGATTCATAATTTATCTAGCATGTATCAGAAATAACCACTGAATTCCAAAATTTCATTAAACATGTTTTCATTGCATATACACACATACGCATAGATTCTAATTGTCTTATTTTAGTTATAGGCCTTCCAAAATCATTTCTAAATTGACAGATTTGATGAGATTTGGATTTAAATTACTGATACACTCAGGAAGAAATCTTTACATCTTTGGACACTGAACTCTTTACTAACACAGGTTGAGTACCCCTAATCCAAAAATCTGAAATCTGAAATGCTCCAAAATCCAAAACTTTTTAAGCACCCACATGACGCCATAAGTAGAAAATTTCACATCTGACCTTATATGATGGATCAGAGTCAAAACACAGTCAAAACTTTGTTTCATGTACAAAATTATTAAAAATATTACATAAAATTATCTTCTGGCTACTTGTATAAGATGTATATGCAACATAAGTAAATTATGTGTCTGGACTTGGGTCCCATACTCAAGATATCTCATTATATATATTGCAAATATTACAAAATCCAAAAAAGTGGAAATTAAAACAATTCTGGTCCCAAGTATTTTGGATAAGAAATACTCAACCTGTATATAATTATTACAGTAGTACATTTTTTATCTTATATAAGAAAGCAATATTCTGAAAAAGGAATTACATTCATTGTTTTCAAACCAGAAAAATATTGCAAACATTGCTGATATCTAAAACACGGTATTTATTAACTAAAATTAGGTGTATTACAACAGGCATTATACAAAATTAATTCTGATTAAATCACCTAGGTATCACCACAGGTATCACCTTTTAAATTTTGGAATTATGGTAAGCTTATTAAATGGCTAATTCCCAAGCAAGAACTAACCATTTGCAAAGATAGGATAAAATTACATTTCATAATTTGGTTGCTATTTAATATTTTGACCTAAATTCTCATATATATTTAAGATTCATCTACCTCTTTTGGGAATACATAATATTTAAATTCTGAATCTGCTTTGCTTAACTTATCATCAGGTATGTAGAGGCACTAAGTAATGGATCCCATGTTTGAAGAATAACAAGTACTTGCCACCTTTTGTTCCATTGCAGTTATATTCTGTAGAGTTCTGATTATTATTTTGTATTCACTTCTTCTAACTCTGATTGAACACTGTTCAGCTATAATTCTGTTCTATTATTCCTTCTGAATAATCAACAATGAAAAAGGTTTTGAGTTTTAGTTTTCCAAATATAAAGTCAGCTAGTTCATTTTCCCCCAATCCTTAAAATAATTAGAGAAGAATCTCCTGGATACTACATGTCAGACAAGTATCACAACCTCAAAACGTCCTTAGCATCTGAGAGTGTTCCACAAGCCATAAAAACACAGTCAAATTTTGGTTTCTCCTTTTGCCAACAAAACAGTATGTTTTGCTACAAGAAAAAGATGTCTATAAGCTGATGTAATTTGTTGAGAGGTTCTAGAAACAGTGTGACTTAAATTCTAATTTCAAGTCACTAGACTTGAATTTGTGAAGTAAAAAACATAATATTCTTTACTAGCTTATGATTCTTACCATTGAGCAAAATGTATGCAAGCTGAATAGAATGGCAACCTGAAAATGTCAACAATCATCTTAGTATTAGCATGAACAGTATCAGGGACTTTCTGTCCTTGGGGTAATGTCAACTTGTAAGACTCATGGAGAATTCACACGGATTAGGGCTCAATCAACTAGCTATACTGATTTAGTGACAGTTTTCCCTTAAGTCAAAGACCTGGTTATCTCTACATGGAGCTACACTGTAAATGATGACAATATGTTTTTGATTTAAGGCCATAAGTAACTCTTTAAGAATAAAAAGAGAATGCTGTTTTCCCTTTGTCAAATTACCATTTCAATAAATAGAAAGTTCTGATGTATTTTTGGAAATGGAGTCTCGCTCTGTAGTCTAGGCTGGAGTGCAGTGCGGTGATCTCGGCTCACTGCAACCTCCGCCTCCTTCGTTCATGCAGTTCTCCTGACTCAGCTCCTGAGTAGCTGGGATTACAGGTGCACGCTGCCATGCCCGGCCAATTTTTTTTTTTGTATTTTAGTAGAGATGGGGTTTCACCGTGTTGCCAGGCTGGTCTTAAACTCCTGACCTCAGGCAATCCACCCGCCTTGGCCTCCCAAAGTGCTAGGATTACAGGTGCGAGCCACCGCACCTGGCCCTGATGTATTTTTTTAAGTATCCTTTTAATCTGTGTATTTTTATTTTGTGGCATTTGGTTAATACTTAAAAAGGACTAAATGTTTTTAAACAGCAAATTTTAAGGCTTTACTCATTTATGATATAATCACCATATTTTTAAATTGTGATTTTTAGTAATTTAAACTACTAATTGAAATTATTTCTCTAATATTCAACAATTCCTTGGGCTCATGAACAAACATAAATTTTCAAACACACACATTTTTTACCTCGACCATTTTAGCAACAGAAAAATACACGATATCAACTCAAATTTATCTAGTTTATCATTCCTTGAATTAGGAACAGCTTTTTTAAAAAAAGAAATTGCAGTTTTTAAGCACAAATATACTGAACAATCCTATATTCATTTAAGACTATTCTGAACCATGCCATAGTTTGTTGTGCAAAGTAAGCTATAAGTGTAAATTTAAGAGAAAAATGAAATTACATCTTTTCATATACCTAATATTACTATGCAAATATGTTGAAATACTGAATCCGTAACAAATACTTTTGATGTACTAACTCCAACTATCTTCAAGTTTCAAAATCTGAACAACAGTAATAAGATTAAAACAACAATATAGCAGAACCTTGGGATTCATTTTTTAAAAGCCTCAATGAAAGAATATTAATGTAAGAGTTAAGGACTTATTTTTGGTTATGAGGAAAACAGGAAAAGTAATGAAGTATTTGGGGCCAACTGCAGACCATGATCATTTTATGTGCAGGTTGCATCAATCAACTGTAGTTTTTAAAAAACTGAGTAGAATTTTTTTAAAGGTAGTTTTAAAAAGATCAACTAGATCAGCTTAGAGATTTACAGAGCACTGATCAAAGTAAGTATTGGGGTGGGTTTTTTACTAACTTTTTCAAAGCTTAGCTGTGAGCATTTTTCATAACAGCAACATACTTCAATTGGTTGAATCTGATGGAGAAAATACACAGTTCCTTTCAGTGCTATGAAATTCATTTTGGAATAACAGTAAAAACCAACAAATGATCCCAACGTTTAAAGTAAAAAATAAAAAAAAAATGAAAAATAAAAAAAGTGGAAAAGTATTCTACTTAGAGACATTAAGTCCACATTTCTAACTTATTTTTAATAAAAGACATGTTTTTTCTATAACAAAAATGTGTAGTTTAGTTATGAAAACAGTTGGATGACAAAATTATATATGTCCTTCATAGTTTCATAGCATCAACACATTTTACTCTCATGAAAAACTGATATCTTTAAAATCTAAAAACACCCCCCAAAACCCCAAAAGTAAAAACAAAACAAAACAAAACAAAAAAAAACTGAAATCACAAAACACAATCAACATGTTAACATAAATAAGCACAGAAAAAAAGGAACCCCACACAAATAGAGACTGACTTCTCTTATATGATCAGTACCTTTTCCTGGACAAAGCTGGTGTACCCCAAGGAGAGGGGAGAGAAGACTCACTTGTCAGGCAAGGAGGGATCTGTTCTGCACGACTACAGACAACAAAACAGACAGGGTGGTTTAGAGAGGTTAGAAGAAGAGAACACCAGGTTGGCAGTTGGTTAGTTTCACAAGAAATGCCAGTAAAAGTTTAATAAGGAACATCTTCCATATTCAGCAGGAACAAGGAACAAGACTACAACACAAGCACTGAATGAAACAGAAAAGCATGCTCACGGCAGATGCTTATTCCATTCATGTTAACATTTAACACATCTGTTAAACAGGGTGCTCTAAGCCCTATTTTTGACAGTGACTAAAAATGATGTATTCTAACTAGGATAAGTAGAAATCAAGGGAAAAGAGGTTGAATCTGAATACACAAATTTATATAGCTCATTCCTAGAACACTACACTGTCCTGTGTTTTCGATAAATTAACTATACATATGCATTTTACTTCAAGATAGGGAAAAGCAGAAGTTTAATGATTTTTTTTTTTACAATTGTTGTCAAAGCTGTTTGGATTTTTAAATGTAAATACTGAGGACTAAGAAATCTTGTTAAGAAGCAGGAAATATCTCAGTTGATACTTCAAAGCAGATATTCCACAGAAAAGGACACAAAACCTATTACAAGCTCTATCCAATGTAGTTACATGGTCTATTGATGAGGGCAGTTCATTTATTTTATGTAGTAAAACTATGGTAAGTTAAAAGCAATAACACTTGGGGCATAAATTAGAAGTATTATTTTCAAAGTGACATCTTCATTGAAAACACAGTTGAAGCACTGAAAATAAGTGATCTAGATGAAGTGGCTCTCCTACAATCTGCCTGAGAACCCTGGATTCCCCCACTGTAGAATGTGTCACACTATATGTAATTGTTTATTTATGTGTCTACATTTTAGCTAAAAGATAGCAAGGACCAAGACAGCCCTGTGTAGAGCTGAATCCTCAATGCCTAGCACAGTGACTTGGCATGCAGCAGCTTTTTGTTAAGTACTTATTTCATGAAGGAATGAGTAAATATTGAGTCTGATGGCCTCTTGAACTTGACGGTTCAAGACACTGACACCTCTCTTTGGGAACTATATCATTTTTTGAGGAGTATGATATGTGGAGAATGATGGAGTACGTGTCTGGAAATAAGAATAATCATAATGATGTTCTATTGATAACACATATCAATAAGTCCAGATGCACCTTTTGAGGCTAAAAAGAAAAAAAACAACAGTAAACACTATCATTAAAGGAAACTTCATAGAAACTGTTCCAATAACTGCAATGAGAACTAATTGAACCTGAATTTACAAATAGTACACAGGCTTCCATGCTAAAAAAAAAAAAAAACAATACCAGAGCAAGAGTAATATTCAAAAATAAAGTGATACACTTCAAACAAATAGGAGAAGAGTCATCTGTTTTCATATTCTTTTGGATTAACTCATAATTCAAGTCTTAATGTTGAAGTCATGCTTAGTATACACCCTTTAATTCAGAGGACAGAGCAGAGCCATACCTGTCAAAAGAATCTGTGGCTACTTTGTAAAGATAAATAAAAAGTTTACTGCAGTGCCGTAACGTGGGTGACACTGATTCTATTGAGATTACATCTTCCTCTAAAAGTCTTTGAAATGGCTGTGTATTTGAGGGGAAGACATTCATGGCGCTTATTTTTCTTAGGTCTGAGAAGCAGCCAAGAAATCGAACAGCATCTGCCAACTTCTCATACTGAATCTCTGTTTTGAAGAAATGAGAGTTGGCTGGCTCATAGCGCATTGCTGCAGTCAACGTGCAGAACACAGTGTGAAGAAGTTCAAACACTTGATTCTGGTTCACTTTCTCCCAGCCATTCTTGGGTGGACAGCTCAAAGATCTTTCCATAGCAACGAGCAAGGATGTAATGTACACAAATCCTCCAACTTTCCTAAAAACTGTTCTTGAACGATGGCTTTCTCGAAGGACCGACAGGAGGGCCTACAGGAGACAAAAGAAAAAACAAATGAAAATACACATAATTCAAAAAAAAAAAAAAACCACTATGCATGTATATGGAGGTTGTACATTCTGTGAATCTGACATGTTTTTATCATTTACCCAATAAACGGTCCTATAAAGCATATCAAATAGTTTGCTAATTAAAAAAGCCACATTAAATGCTGAAGGTAATTTTAGGAAACACTATCACATATTTCTTTGATAGAATAAAGCTACATCCAAATATTGGCTGAAAAGCTTTTCCAGAGTCTTTAACTGATTATGACATCAATGAATTCAGTGACTTTACAAAGTAAGTAAAATATATCTTCTAGTCTAGTTTTACACAATCATGAGAACTTATGACTGTGTGTATACAAACTGATTAATTCTAGAAGGGATCACAGAGATGGTCAGAGCAGCCAAGATCTGAGGTCTTTTGTCTCACATAAAGTGACCATATTCATGCTTTAGAAAGCAGATTCACTTTAGAAGACTTATTAAACATTCTCTTTTGCAAAATGAACTGAAGCCTAAGGGTTGAAAGTATGGCTTTTCCCAAAACAGCTGTAAGCTTTAAAAAAGAAAACAAGTAAATAAGTAAATCAAACATTTACTTTCTGAACTGTCATAATTTTAACTTAGCTTATGATTTTTTTTCTTTTAAAACACAAACAGAGTCATGCTCTATCACCCAGCTTGGAGTGCTATGGCATGATCTTGGCTCACTGCAACCTCTACCTCCTGGGTTCAAGCAATTCTCGTGCCTCAGCCTCCTGAGTAGCTGGGATTACAGGCACGCACCACTATGCCCAGTTAATTTTTTGTATTTTTAGTAGAGATGGGGTTTCACCATATTGGCCAGGCTAGTCTCAAACTCCTAGTCTCAAGTGATCCACCCACCTCTGCCTCTCAAAGTGCTGGGATTACAGGCGTGAGCCACCGCCCTGGCCAGCTTATGATTTTAAAAAACACATTACAAAATCACCTAATATTTTATCAGGCACTTGCTATGTACTAGGCACTCTAGGTGCTTTTATGCACTAGCTTATTTAATCCTTTCAACAATCCTATGGGTAAGGTACTATTATTATTTCCACTTTATCGATAAGGAATTGAGGCCCAATGTGGTAAAATAACTCTCCAAAGACTATACAACTTATAAAATGGTAAAGGTAGAATTTAAACCTAGGCAGTCTAATTACCCTACTCCTGCACTTAATCATGACATTATGCCCCAAACAGCAAGCTGAAATCTTTTTCATGGATACAGTGGGCTCCTTTGCCCTCTGTTTCATTAATTGTAGCACAATGGGTATCTACTATTACTTAAGATATAATTTCTAATCTGTCCAATCATCGCATTTGAAAAAGTCATTTTTTTTTAAAAGATCTCACACATTTCTAATGGTATCTGAAGAATGAAAAGGCTACATACAGGTTGAATATCCATTATTTAAAGTGTTTGGCACCAGAAAGGTTTCGGATTTTGGAATATTTGCACATATACAGTAAGTTATCTAAACATAAAATTCATGTATGTTTCATATATACCTTATACACATAGCCTGAAGGTAATTTTATACAATATTTTAAATAATTTTGCTCATGCAACTTTACCATCACATGAGGTCAGGTGTGGAATTTTCCACTTGTCAGCACTCAAAAAGATTGCAGCATTTTGAATTTCAGGTTTTTGGATGAGGGATGCTCAACCTGTATTAATATATTAGTCACCTTTTGACATATACTGTTTCAGAAGTTATGAAGATTTCATTGTTCACACCTATTCCTTAATATTTTAAAAGACAGAAAATATGCAATCTGTATGTAAATAAAATATAAAAACAATGTTTCTTCCAATAGTCTTCAATCAATAAATTTACATTTTAGTATCTGGTAACAATATAGTTAGTTTCCCTATCTTGTCAAATTTAATAAACTATATGAATACTTAAAATATTTCATATTAACAAAAGACTTAACACAGACATGTATGCGCATGCACGCACACACACACACATACACTCCTTATAACACAGGCTGAAGATGGCTGAACTCAGGATGCTTGGGGTCATATTCTGACTCCAACATTAAAAAGTATTTAACCATCCCAGTTACTTAACCTTTCTGTGTCACAGTTCCCTCTTATGTAAAATGGAAACAACAATAACTAACCTCAAAGGAAATACATGTAAGAACCCTTAGAGAAGTGCCCGGCATATAAGCCTATCACTATCATCAATTTTCAAAAACATACTGGGAGAAAAATATGACAAGTATTATTTTATAGATGAGGAGGGGTGAGTTCAAAGTTAAAGTAACATGTACAAAATGCTATCACTGGTTAGAATTATGACTGAGGTTAGAAAAACTGCTGCTTACGAATCTTAGTCCAATAATTTATATTATGTACTTCTGGACAGGCCCACCTCCTACTTCCTCAAAACTGGTATCTGTTGTTGCTCTGACATTATCCCAAGCACAATCTCAGTATTCGAAAAATTTCAAATACCATGAATAATGTAACTTCCCACTTACATCAATAAATGATGACAAGTAGCAAACACCAAAGCTGCAATGAGATCTGGAGGCTGCTTGGTTAATTAGACAAAATCAGCTATATATTACTTATATTTGCATAAATACAATTCATACAATTCAAATTTGTGCATCAGGAGAATTTCCATGACATGTCATGGAATGTCAGGTTTGTGTATAAATAATTACAAATTAAATGACATAGTTCTGTGGTATATGTCAGTTGAATGGAGGCACTATGTAATTACAAATTAAATTACATAGGTCTGTGGTATATGTCAGTTGAATGGAGGCACTAAGAAGCAATTCTGAATGAAGTAAAAATGGAAATTGAAACTGAGAACCCACATTTTCCCTATTGGCTCTCAGCGCTACTTTTTCCCTTCAAAGCAGAATGCCAGAGCTAGCTCATACCGGCTCTCAAGAGGTCAAGTGCCATATTTTCAGGAATTTTGTAAGTCAGTTGTTAAACGTACAATCATAATTAAAAATTAAGTAACAAATTTACAACTAAGTATTTTACAGACAAAATACTCAAAACTCATCAGTTTCTAATTATTTTCTGAATTTTACTATTATCTATGCTTTTACGTATCTGCATGAGGAAATGCTATATAATGGTGTACTACTGTGCAACTCTTTCCAATCCACATTCAGTGGCACATTAGTTGACTGAATAGGCCACAATGTGAGTATTTATACCCTGGAAATCAGTAAATGCAAAATATCATGACTCTCTCCTGCCCTCTTCCAGCCTGAGAATCAGTTACTAACATTAACCAGAACACTGCCTCAAAATTACGGGTCAGCCAATTACTTCTTGTTGGCTTTACTTACCAATATTTAAAAAATCCAATTAATAAGGTACCAAAAGAGGAGAAAATGGTATGTTAAAAAAAAGTTGGCAACCTTAGCATCTTTTGAAGCCATCTATGTTCTCCCAACAATTCCTTCAAATATAAAATGTTCTTCAAATATCGACACTCATGTGGATATCCTTTTTGTCTAACAGATAAATTGCGGTGAGATTAATCTTGCTTTTAAGATGCATATTCAAAATTGTCATTATACACCATCAAAACATGATGAAATATATGACAGCATAAGGAAAGAAATGCTATTTTTTCATTACCAATGAAACATTTAATTGAATAAAAGTAAAAGAAAATAGAAGTAATAACTACTAATGTCTGTGGCTGGAATGGGGTATGTAGGAAACTAGTATATGCCACCCCAAAATACGCCACTATGGCATAAGGATTATTTTCAGTTGAAGGCAATTGGGAAGAAGTAGATATAAGAAAACTCTCTGCCATCCCCTATTTGATGAAGTCAGACCCTTCCCAGCCTGGAGACAGCAAAGAAATGCACACAACAAACTACCAACTATTCTTTATCTACCATTTATTTGCCTTCCCACAAGTTGATATCCCTAGAGTCCGTTTCCTTTATGTCATCATTTCTCTAAAAATGTACTGTTCTTTGCGGAGAATGCTATACAGTGGTCCCCCTTCTCTGCAGTTTTGCTTTCCTTCGTTTTAGTTACCTGTGCTCAAACTTGGCCTAAAAATATTGAATGAAAAATACCAGAAACAACAATTCAAAAGTCTTAAATTGTGTATTGTTCAGAGTAACATGATGAAATCTCACACTGCCCCACACCACTGTGACTCATCCCTGTGTCCAGTGTACATATGCTGCAAAAGCCACCTGCCTGTTAGTCACTGAGCAGAGTCTCGGTTATCAGAGCAACTGTGGAGGTTTCCCAGTCCCTGTGTTCAAGTAACCCTTATTTTACTTAATAGTGGTCCCAAAGCACAAGAGTAGTGACACTGGCATATTGTTATAATTATTCTATCTTATTATTGGTTATTGTTGTTAATCTCTTACTGTGCCTAATTTATAAATTAAATGTTATCACAGGTATGAATATACACAGGAAAAAAACATAGTATATATAGCATTCCATACTATCTGCAGTTTCAGGCATTTCTGGGGGGTCTTAGAATGTATTCCCCCGAAGATATGGGGGGACTACCATACAAAATGGAGTTCTAAGCCACCTCTTTGAGAATTAGTTATCTTTCCCTGGTTGTTTCCCACGCACATATGAGGTAGACATGTTAATAAACTTGTTTGTTTTTCTCTTGTTAATTTGTCTTTTGTAACACTGGTCTGTCCTAGTTAAGAACTCAGCAGGTAGAGGAAAAATAATGTTTTTCTCATCTACAGGTGAGAGTACTAGTAGAGGAAGTGAAAGGAGATGGAGATCGGGTCACAAGGGCCTTGGAAGCAAGGTTAAACACACTGGTTTGTCTGTTATTATTTTAATGTCATTTTAGACTTGAAGAAAAACTGCATAAATAGTTCAAAGAATTCACAGATATCCTTCATTCAGATTCTTGAAAAATTACCATTTTACTTAATTTCTCTCTTTCTCCCCTTCCCTTTTCCCCTAAAAGCTTCAGTGTTTTTCAAAAAAAGGAATTCTCTTACTACTCACAGTACAATGCTCAAAATCAGAGAACTAACGTTCAAACAATACAATTATTTTATCTACAGACCTTGTGTTTTTTCCAAATCCCAATAATATCCTCCATAGCAAAGGAAAATACAAGTTCATGTACTATATTCAGTAGTCACTTCAACCTCTACTTTTTGGAACAGTTCCTACGTCATTTTTAATTTCATTTCATCTCCTTTTTCTAAGAGTTTAGGCCAATTATTTCATAGAAAGTCCTCCAATTAGGATTTATCTGATGTTTTCTAATAATCAGATTCATATTATATACTTTTGGGAGGAAAAAGTACAAAAATGAGCTGAATTTTTCTCAGTGCTTCCTATCAGGAGGTGTATGCTATTCATCTGTCCATCACTGGCAAAGTTAATGCTGATCATTTAGTTACGGTAGGGTCCATTGTAAAGCTAATATTTTAGCACTCGAAATTAAGAAATATCTTTTAAGGATAAAATTTAAGAGTACGCAAAAATCCTTTCACTTCTAAAACTTTCATCTACTATCTTTAGTATCCAGTGATGAATTTTACTTGAATCAATTATTACTACGATAGTTCATAAATTGTGATTTTCTTTGACTTTTGACTATAAGTAAGAGTTTTTCCTCTTCTCTATTTGTTTGATTGTACTTACTTAATTGCTTATTTTCTTTGATCTCTTCTTTACTTTTTCAAGGCTAACTGAAATGTTTTAGGCTCATTTTGTTTCTTTCTCTGCCCTCGTCCTGGAATCAAGGAGGCCTGAATCCTTACAACGGAAAATTGTATTTAGAAACCTTGCATCAATCAATAAATTAAAGAACATAAATTTTAATGGACTTCTTTCACTTTACTCAGATATTATTTAAATACAAGAGCAGGTTTTTAGTCACAGAAAGAGAAGGCTATGTCTCTTTTTATTAAAACAACTATTATTCACAGCAGATAAGCTGAAAGCACAGCTTTACAAAGAGACTACATGGGTTCAGATCTAGACTCCTCTACCTACTAGACAGACATATAGAACTTGGGAAAATATTTCAACCAGTCTGTGTTTCAGTTTACAGTATGTAAAGCAGGGACACTAATAGTATTTATTTTTATCATAAGGATTAAATAAGTAGATGCAGATAAATGCATACAACAGTACTAATAGAAAGCAGTCAATAAATGTTAGCTACTATTATATCTGGAACTTGGAAATTTTTAAAATATATCATTTAATATTTAATAGTCTACTTTTCCATTACTCCTTACTTGCATTACTAAATTCACTTCTAAATGAAAGTGAAACATTCGATTATAGTTTGATTCTAAAAATTTCTTACATATCATTTCTTATAATATCAATAACCAGTAATATGGGAGAATGTGAGTGTATAAATCTGTATAAAACAATGGTGCTGTGGAAATAAAACGGGTATTGAAATCTGGGGGTCGGTTCTACTAATTAAAAGTCACTTAAGTGAACAAAATCCATGTTATATGATTTCTCTAAACCTAAGTTTTCTCATCTGCAAAACAGGGTGCTACTTAATTTATAGTATTACTAAGGAGTAAATGATAAAAGCATATGTATAACTCCTGGTATATTGTTTGATATCTACTAGAATATCCATTACTTACATACATACATATATGCATGCATGTGTATAAAATGCCAAATCTAACATTCATTTCACAGATGCATAACACTATGAGTGAATTTAACTGATCAGAAAATACATATATTTAGTATTAATTAAGATCCTATACTTCACTAATATTTAATTTAAGAGTTCCAGTAAGTCAAGATAATTACTGAAAAGGTTTATCAGCAGAAGTAAAATATATACTGAAAGACATAAATGACTGGAGTTTTTCCAAGTTCCTAACGTGTACAAAGTTGTGAGGTTTCTTGGGTAATTTGGATTTTTTTTAATTTCCCTGTCTCTAACTTAAATACAGATCATCTAAAAATAACCACAGATTTTAGTAGTAAAAGAAGGGAAACACATTTATCAAACTTACCCTTAAAATATCAGTCTTCAACTGCAATTCCGTCGGTGGGGCTGAATGCATTAGCCCCAGGAGAGTGCCCATGTCATCGTCCCCATTTGGGGAGAGCACCAGCTGTTGGATAGTCATCAAGGCATGCTGCCGGCATTGAGGGTACTTTACTATATTATGTGCACATCTTGCACCTCCAAATTCTCGAAAAATTCCTTGAAGGAAGGAGAAAAAGTCCAACAATGGCTACTTTAAAATATTCTGAGACAAGTCAGATGAATTAACATTCAGTTATTTTTTGTAGGTAAAGTAACTCATAATAATGTAAATAAAACCTACCCAACTATTTCACCTTTTAAATTACAATACAAATTTGCACAGTGGGTTGTCAGCAAAGGTATATGCAAATTTTCTCTACATTTCCTTAATGCAAGATTAATGCCGTGATATGTTCACCATGTCCAAGCTCTCAAAATCTAGAACATTCACAAGTCTCTTAGGCAGACCCTAGGAGACTCTCTATTGTAATCAACTTATGTAAAAGGCTTTCAGAGGAACAATAGCCTAAATAAAGGAGATTTAAATGAACATGGCTTCCAAAATAGTAGCAAGAAAGGAATGGAATAAATTATTCCACCATGGGAAAAATTACAAGGAACCAACATGTTTTGTTGCACAGGTAGAGCATAAGAACAAAAAGTGACAAATTCTGTAACAGAAGTATGTGTCATTGTTACTGCTCCAAAGCCTTTACACAGATTGACTTACTTAATACTCATCCCCTACCATATAGAGGTAAGGCGGTCAAAGTCATACAGCTAGTAAGCAACAGAAAAGGATGTATGCCTACATAGCCCAGCTCTGTAAGCCTGTGCTCCTGCTCACAAGTGATACTGTTCTCACATCAAATATTAATATCATCCTCCAGTATTAAAAAAATGGGCCCAGTGACTGAAATCACTAATTAGTATTTCCTCTAAGTAATTCTTCTATCCCTTACGTTTTTAGGGCATCTTGTTTATATCTCTATTATGGTTTATAACAAACAGTCTTACTATTATTGCTTATGTTTGGTCTTCCATGACTACTGGATTTTCTCCTGATTTGTGTTTCAATAAACGTTTACTAAAACAGTGTATTCTGCTATAGCAGCCACTGTCCTCTCTGCTTAGTGGCTTTCTATTTGTTAACTTTATAAAAATTATAAGATCATGAAGTCAGTCTAAGCCATGTGCTTGAGATTCAGCACATGGAATTTGTGACATCCTTTCATTACCTGAAGGCCTGTTTAGTTACCTCCTGGTTGTCAGTTAGGACCCACTAGATAATCATAATGGCTAATATTATTTAAATACTTAAACTATGAGTAAAGTACTGTTTTAAATGCCTAACATCACACAGCTAGTAACATCTTTCATACTGGGAAAAGAAAAACTGAAAAGAATTGTATGAAATTGTTTGGCACTTTGGGATATGTACTAAGTGACTTTTAGTCGTGCAGAGTAAGCTCTCCAATTGTCCAATCTCTTCCTGTGCAACTTCTAGGTCGTCTCAAGGAAAGCTAATTTGCTAAGCAAATTCCTGTTAGTCTATCTTCATTATGTTTCTGATTATCTCAGTTAACTAAACCTAGTTAGTGGAAATAAGATTATGCATTATGCCATAGACAAAATGTTACTATAGTATCCACTAAAATTCATCATACTCATTGTTTCAATTACCTGTTAAATTCATTCAAGTCTATCTTAGCATTTGCCAAATTTGTATCAGACTAATTACTTCTATAATTATGTGTCTACATTTTTCTTCACTAGATTCTAATTCCCAGGGAGCAAGAATGATCTTACCTTAGCATCTAGGTGTTAGAATAATCTAACACCTAGCTAGCATGGTACCTGGGATACACAATATATTTTAAATATGATGAATGCTGAGTTTCCCTGCATTCAGGCAAACAGTCATGCATTTGGGCATGGGGTTCATTCATCCATGGCTTTCCATAACACTTAAAATATATTTCAAGCTCCTTACCATGGCCTAAAAAGCTCCCTATGATTTGAGCCCAGCCTACTAATCTGAACTCATTATTCCTCTCAAGTTGTACTGAACTTATTACCTGAGAGTTGTTTGATGTTAATTAAAATCTCAAGTAATCTTTTTTAAAAAGCAAGAGTGATATTTTATAAATATAGTTAGGTTATCTGTTAATGACAGGTAGAAAAGTATAAAAGAGAAATTGAGACCAAAATTAAACAAAATATTTAGTAAAGTTAATTAACCTTGGAGAGATTACGTTTTATTAGAGAATCATTGTTCAGTATTTCCTGAAGGTTGTAACATTATAATACTCTAACTTGTAGTACTAAAAATATTCTTTAAATCACTGTGTAAAGAAAATATTTTAGAAAGAATTTAAATAGCAACTTATTTGAGTAAGAGTGTATCAATAAAAAATTAGAAGAATACTTTCAACACAAGACACTATAAAAAGCAATTTAAACATCATTTTGAAATAGTAACAATCTTATATGTTTTGTCATCAAGGTGCTCCTGATGGTCAAAAGCACTGCATTTTTAGGGACATGACGGGTACCATCACTGAATCAATAGTTTTTTCTCTAAAGTGACAGGAAGATTTCAGAAGCAAGAATAACCACAGAAGATGTAATCAGTGGTAATCTCCCAAAGTATTTGCTTGCAGCTTTTTAAATTACCTGCATTTGTGTTTGATCCTTGAAGAAGCACTGTCAAGGTCTCCATAACCAATAAAGCCAGGTGTTTTTGGTCTTCAACTGAACTATTATTTCTTGAGTCCCCTAAAAAAAGGTTCAAAGGTCCAAATTACAAAAGTGATAAGCTTATTTTTTCTTGATTCCGTTTTACTGTAATAATTTCTTTATTTCTTCAGTATTCAGTTTTACCCCTAATAGGACAGATATAATATAATCTTTAAAACGATGCATGCATCCAACATTTGGCAAAAGTAGGCTCAAAATCAATATTAACAGATTTTATTTCGGTATGCTTGCAAGTGGCCGTTATCCAATAAATATTAAAAATGAAAATGCAAAGGTTAAATATATCCTCTTCACAGAGGGTTTTCCTAATAAAGGATGTCAACAGGAGAACGCTAGATTTTGATACACCAAAAAGAGAGAAAAGTTCATGAATAAAGCTATCTATTCAACCTGTATTAATTCACATTTAATACTTATTAATTGCCAGATACTACTGTACTTTTATCAGATTTATCAGAGAGGTACCCAATGATAATACATTGTGTATATAACATCATTAAATATACGTATTTGCTCTGTACAATAAAAACACATTGAAGTAACTATACATTTAACTATATTTATTAGTTGTAATTAATAACAAATCTGATTATTTTCAGAAGCTTTTAAAGCTCGCTCTTAGAAGCACAAGGCAGTAGATACTAGTCATGTGGATCATACATGTTTTCCCTCAGTTTTTACCTTCCTTTAAACTCTCTCCAATACACTCACATAATTCTAGCTTCCTCCTCCTCAATTACCTAACAGAGGTTGAATGAACCTGTAAATTTTGGAAAATACAGTTCACTAATATGTCACAATAATGCACATTAGGAAGTCATTGAAATCAATAACCAAAGAATGGGAACAAGAACAAAAAATTCTCTGTTTTGAACCCCTTTTCAAATAAAAATAAAATTACAGACAATACTTTACCTTGTTCATTTAGTGCCTGAGTTGGATCCTTCAACAGGGCAGCATATTTATGCAAAAGGTTTACCATGACCTCCAAAAGGCCAACCTCCCTGAACACGTCTTTAAATATGTAGTCATGTCTTGTAAACTTAAGAAGTGTTTTCATTGCAATAATGCTACAGTGATAAGAAGAGCTAGATTTTAAGAGGATACTGACACTAATAAGTTCTTTACAAGGTATATAATTTAAGCTAAAAACAACAAACTCCAGCATCTCAAAGTATTTGTTTTGTACTTCTGGGAGTTTAGAAATCTTCTCTGCAAACTGTGACAATGTGTGCTGTGACTCTAGGATGAAGTAATTGGCATTGTCAGCCATGTAAATATTTGTGATAGCATCAAGGATGATTTGGGCAAGGAAGCTGGTTTTTGCTTTTAAAAATGCATTCTGAAGAACTGCAAAGGCCTGGACGTTTCTCACACTGTGACCTAGAACAGAAAAGAAAAACATAAAAGTAGGTACTATGTGATATTTTAATGATGGCAAACTAGTCTGTTTAAACACATCATGAATTATAACATTTATCAATTATTTACTAAGAACATAACCCTGTTTTCACAAAAGGTCTTATTTTTCTTCATCAGGTTCAAATCATTTAATTAAAAATAACAATGATTAAAACTTTAATGCATTATTATGAATATTTCAATTCAAAAATAGTGTATGTTGAAAAGTTAGACTGTTTTAGAGGGAATAAAAGCATATTATTATAAACATCCATGCTTCAGAGTTTAGAGTGGTAGTTTTATTATCTATGAGATTGATTTTGACTATAAGGACAGCTGTCTCTCAATTTAAAAAGACTTTGAGGCTGAAGAAGTTACAGGCCTGAGAGCAGCAATAATGAAGCAGGAAAACAGGAGGGGAAAATTTTTCTAAATTCCAGTTTTCCTTTATAATTAGAACACTGTGATTTTTATAAATTTTAAGCTGGAAGTTTGTTTTGTTTTCTAGCTAACAGTACAATTTCTTCATATAGACATTTGTTAAAGTAATTTATGGCCAGCTATTCAAACGTACCAAATGGGGAAAAAAAAACTTTATACATGGCTCTGGTGAGGCAAATTAGTGACAATAATTATAAAGAAATTAAGACAGAAAGTTCTATTTGAAGTACATGAAAATAAGCAGCTTGCCTGTAAAAGGAGTCCCCAGAACAATACCTATTAGGAGTATATGGCATTTCCAAGTATGACCAAAAAATTAACATAGTGTCTGACAGAATAAGCTGGATTTCAGAAAGAGTATAAACCAGAGAACTACCAAAATTAGTAAATGGAGCAGAAAGAACACTCAGGGCTGGGGGCAGTAGCTCACACCGGTAGTCCTAGCACTTTGGGAAGACTGCCTGAGGCCAGGAGTTCTAGACTAGCCTGGGTAACATAGCAAGACCACCTCCATTTCTACAAGAGATTTAAAAAAAAATTTAGCTGGGGATGGTGGCATGTGCCTGTAGTTCTAGCTACTCAGGAGGCTGAGGCAGGAGGCTGAGGCAGGAGGATTGCTTGAGCCCAGGAGTTTGAGGTTGCAGTGGGCTATGATCACACCACTGCACTTCAGCCTGGGCGACAGAAAGCAATCCTGTCTGTAAAATAAACAAACAAACAAACAAAAAAGAATGCTCAGAAATCTTGACTTCGACATTTCTTAAAAACACAGGAAATTTAAAAAATCTCCAGCCTATATATGATTTCAATTCTCTAATTTCTTGTTTATTACATGTATGGCAAATACCAAAAATTTATCTTTGTTTCCTGTGTCTATCAGTCTATCTAAGTTTGTTTTTTGGTTACCTACATAATATAAAAAGTAAAGATGTCTGGAAAAGAATAATCAACATCTCAGCAGCTTTTCAAAAAAATAGTTCATGTGATTATTAATTTATATGGAAAATCAAAAGACTTAGAATAGCCAATATGATTCTGAGAAGAAAGAACAAAACTGGACAACTTAAGTGACCTGATTTTAAGGCTTATTATAAAGCTACAGCAATCAAGACAGTGTGGTATTGGCTTAAGGACAGGTACATGGATCAATCAAACAAAATTCAGAAAGTGTCTCAGATATATGTAGTCATATATGATATTTTCAACAAAGGGTCTTGGCACATTCAGATACCCATATTAAAAAAGAAATCCTTACTTTCTACCCTCTATGATAATAACTTAAAATGTACCATAGACCTTAATTTAAAAGTTAAAATATGAAACACTGGATAAAGAAAAAATCAGAAGAAAACATTAGAGATCTTTGTGAATCTGAAGTAAAGATTTCTTCAATAGGAGAAAAACAATCACAAAATATTATTAAAATGAAAAACTGGACTTCATCAAAATTTAAAACTTCCATTTCTCAAAAGATGCGTTAAAAAAAAACCAGCAAGTCAAAACTAAGAGAACACACTTCCAAAATACATATTAAGGGATAAAGAACTTATACAGAATATCTAAAGAACTCTTATAACTCCAGTAAAACAACCCTATCAAACAATGGGCTCAGAGATCTGAACCAAGGTAGAGAAACAGATGGTGACAAAGCACATAAAAAATGCAAAACTTCATTAGTCAATTATAAAAATGAAAATTAAAATAACAATTAGACATTATTACATACTTAGTAGAATGTCTAAAATTAAAAGGACTAACAATACCAAGTGTTACTGACAGCGTCAAGCAACTGGAACTGACATTACTGATGTGAATGCAAAAATTGGACAGCCACTTTAGAAGATACTCTGGCAGTTTCTTGTAAAGTTAAACATACATTTACCATATGATCTAGCACTTTAACTACTCTGTATTTAGCTAAAAGAAATGAAAACGTATGTCCACAGAAAGATTTGTTTTATATAAATGTCCACTGTAGCTTTATTCCTGATAGTCAAATAAATGTCCATCAACTGGTGAAGAGATACACAAATTGTGGACTATCCAAACAATGAAATAATACCCAGCATTAAAAAGGAACAAACTTCTGATACATGCAATAACATAGGTGATTCTCCAAAGTATTACAATATTCTCCCCATTTTCATGGTTTTATTTTCTGTGGTTTCAGTTACCCATGGTTAATTACAGTCTGAAAACATTACATACAATAAGATATTCTGAGACAGAGTGCTCATGCTCTTAAGAGAGAGCACACATTTACATAACTTTTATTATTGTGTATTGCTATAATTGTTATATTTTACTATTATTGTTGTTAATCTCTTACTGTGACAAATTTATAAATTCAACTTTATCATATGTATGATGTGGAAGAAAAACATAGAATATATAGGGGTTTGGTACTATCTGTGGTTTCAGGTATCCATTGGGGACCTTGGAACACATTTCCCCCAGTTAAGAGGGGAGTGATTAGATAGAATCCAGATACAAAAAAAACTATATACTGTATGATTACAGTGTATTAAGTTCTAGAAAGGGCAAAACTAAAACAGACTAGTGGTTGCCAGGGCAAGGGTTAAGGTGGGGAGGACTGACTGCAAGGAGAACAAGGAAACTTTCTAGACGGTGAAAATATTCCACATCATGATTACGGTGGTGATTACACAACCATATCCACTTGTCAAAACTCATCAAATTCAACACTCAATTGAGTAGATTTAATGTACACAATTTACACCTCAATACTGCTAGAAAATGTAAAAGACAACCTATTCCACATTCTTTCTATAATGGAATACAGCTATTTCCTATGATCCTTGCAATAATGCTAAAAGTAGGCCATGAGAAACAGAAAATTTTGAGTTATACAGGAAACTCAAAATGATGTAGCTTCACCCATTCACTTTATAGAATATTATGCCAATTTTTCTGAAGAAGAAACTGATGTTTAGAAAAGTTAGGTCACTTATGATTACATAAATTCTGACTCTTAGGGCATCATCCTTTCTAGATAGCCTTACTTTCATAGACATTATGTCACTGGATTCTCACCATAACCCTGGGAGGTGCTAGGTTATATAATTATTATCCCTGTTATGAATGAGACAAAACCAGGCAATGATATATGCACAAGATTAATTTTGCTGCATTATTACAAAATTAAATTGTTGTGATTAGCTATTATGCCAATATCAACATCACATTGATAAACCAAATGAAACAACAATAAAGTATAAAATAGGAAGTACATTGCTGCAATATTTTTATATTAATTCATAGGAAGATTTAACTGTAGAATGATCAAGCTGGAATCTATAAATTAGAAATTTTCTGAGAAGTCTCTATTTTTTTTTTTTTTTTTGCTTTTAAGAGAAAGGGGGTCTTGCTCTGTCACCCAGGCTGGAGTGCAGTGGTGTGATGACAGCTCACTGCAGCTTTGAACTCCCGGGCTCAAAAGATCCTCCTGTGTAGCTGGGATTACAGGTGTGAATTGCCACACTATTTTTTTCTTGATAGTAAATAAAATGAAACCTTAAATCACTTAGGGAAACATGGATTTCTCCCTATTTACTGCAGAGACTCATTTAAAAGGTTCTAAACAACTTATGTACTGAGGGCACATCATATTACACTGATGACGCCATCTATTTTCACTGATTATAGACTGTTAATTTCTAACTCATAACATATGTATTATAAATTTAAATATGTATTACAAATTTAATACATAACATATGTATTATAAATTTAAATAACCAGACATGTTTGTATTTATTGGCTGGTTAAATTTTAAATGGAAATATCATGATCCTATTGAATACTTAGTAAGTGACAGTCATGTGAATAAAAACTATTAGAGGCCTCCAGGCTCAGGTTACTTTGAAATGATTACTGTGCATTTTTTGAAAAATAAAATACATAATAAAACTAACTTGCATAAGTATGTAATTAAATATTATTAGGATCCAAATGTTTGGAAATCTAGACTATAAAAATTTATCCTCCGACCCAAATGAAATAATGTAACCTCCGTACATAGATTTTGCTTAGTTTTAAATAAAATACAAGCAGTTATACTTCATGCTGTCCATAGTCAGCCGCTGTATCCATGGGTTCTGCATCTGTGGATTCAATCAATCACAGATGGAAAGTATTAAAGAAAAAAAAAGGTGTGGTTGCATCGGTACTGAATATGTACAGACTTTTTTCCTTGTCATTATTTCCTAAACAATACAGCAAAATAAGTACATAGCATTTACATTGTATTTGGTATTTTAAGTAATCTAGAGATTATTTATTTAAAGTATATGGGAAGACGTGTAGGTTATATGCAAATACTATACCATTTTATATCAGGGACTTGAGTATCTGTGGATTTTGGTATCGGCAGGGGGTCCTGGAACCAATCCCCCACAGATACTGAGGGATGATTTTATGTCTTAATAGGTACAGAGATTAGGCTGAAAATTGAGTTCTATCCACGTAAAGTAGAAATGCACGAAGTGCCAACATTCAAAAGAAGCATGTTTTGATTAAATTGTTTGAATGTTAAAAAATACTGTAATATAAATCTCCTTGTTTGATTTTATATTTTTATAATATTATTTTCAAGTATTTGATCTGCTAGATTAAAGGTTATTACTTAAGAAATACTTAAACCATTAAAAAAAAAACAAGCTTTAAGGGAAACTATATTACTTTTATATATATAACAGAAACAAAAAGTAATATACCAAAATAAGACAAATTCATTCTTTCTCTATTTCTCTCAGTAGCACAGAAGGGAAAAAACAAGACTCACCTTTGCCTGCAGGCTGAGGTACTGCAAATCCAGGCAATAAAAAGGGTGCCCCTGTGGTAATACCAGCTGGTTTTAGTTCACTGACACCATATGTTGTTAGGGAAGTTATCAGATTAACCAGATCTTTCAAGGCATCTTTGGATTCTGCCTCTTTTGCTTGTTCCAATCTAGAAAAGTATGATTTAGAAAGTATTTTTTTTCTCTTTGGTTGTGTTCTCAGATTTAACACAAAGTATTTTTCAATTTTATATGCAGTAAATAAATGTATAAAGTACTCTGGGAAGTACTGAAAGAACACTGGGGTCATTAGGGAATTATCTTTTAACCACGGCTTTCCTGAGAACACAAAATGGGTTGCAACAAATACCCTTTAAAAAAAAAAAAGATTTATTGGGTATTTCCCCTTAAAAGAAGTAATTATTCTCATTAAAATAAACCTGGAGAATGCCAAAAAGTAGGAAAGAAGAAAAAGTATGATTAGCCTCACAAACACATTTAACATTCTTATTCTTAAGCTTATCTTTTTAATATGAAAAGTTTAGTTTTTACAATATTTATTCTCATACTATATACAGTATGTTGTAACCTATTTTTTTCCTTTACTAGTGCTGTATGTGTACTTCCACACATTAGTGTAAGCTTTCACAGGTAAGCTTTCAGGGGCCATGCAGAGCCAACCACACATTTGGGGAGTGAGAGTTCCAACAGCTGGCATAATGCAAAAAGCACTAATAAATAAAATCTTGTCTACAAGATTTGGATTATATCTTTAGGATCAATAAACATAAATGAAATTATTGTATCAGATTACCAACATTTTTAAGGCTCTTAATATCTTGCCAACCTACGTTCTCAAAGGATAAATCAATTAATACCCCTCTAGTAATGTGAAGTGGTTATTTCATCAACTTTCATATGTATTTATAAACTTGCATATATATGCAAAATGATATTCTTAGGGGTTATCTAATATCAACTAGCAGCAACTAGGTTAAATTGGTGTTAGAAATAACAAGTTCTGGCCAGGCATGGTGGCTCACACCTAAAATCCTGGTGCTTTGGGAGGCTAAGGCAGGAGGACTGCTTGAGGCTAGAGTTTGGCACCAGCCTGGGCAACATAGGCTCTACAAAAAAAATAAATAAAATATAGCTGGGTGTAGCTACTTAGGAAACTGAGATAGGAGGATCTCTTGAGTTAAAAATTATATCGAGCTATGATTATGCCACTGCACTCCAGCCTGGGAACATAATGAGACCCCAGAGGGAGGGAGGGAGGGAGGGAGGAAGGGAGGAAGGAAGGGAGGGAGACAAGTAAGTTTACAAAACAGTGGTGTCTTATAATAGATCAAATGATTTAAAAATAATTAATGGCCCAGGAATAGCTGCTGAAAAATGGTGAGTATCTTCTTCTTAAGAAAATCTGTAACCAGCCACTTTCTAAGTATGTGCACGAACCATTTGAAATGGAAAAGGGGGTTAAGTAACACATTTTGAAATTATTAATTTGTTTCATATACACAGTTGTAAGGTTTTATTCCATCTACATAATTATTCTTATTAAGTACATTAATAAAAAGACTAGAAGTACTATAAAATAAAGAACCAAAAATATAATTAAGAAGAGTTTATACTTTAAGAAGATATTAATTAGTTTATCTAAATTCTTCTCCCTCAGCTACTAAAGAGCAGATTTATGCTTCATATCTAACCTCTGACTTCATCATGTTTGTGCCCTGCATTTGGCAATTTAACTCTAAATTCACTTTTCCACTCTGTTGGCAGAACAGGAATAAAAAGAAGGGAATAGGCCAGGTGTGGTGGCTCATGACTGTAATCTCAGAACTTTGGGAGGCCAAAGGATTGCTTGAGGCCAAGAGTTTGAGACCAGCCTGGGCAACACAGCGAGATCCTGTCTCTATGGAAAATGTTTAAAAATTAGCTGGGTGTGGTGGTACGTGCCTGTAGTCCTAGTTACTTGGGAGGCTGAGGTGGGAGGACCATTTGAGCCCAGGAATACGAAGCTACAGTAAGCTGTGATTGCACCAGAAAAAGAAGGGAGTAAAGCCAGGTATACATTAAATAAGTGTTTCCTTAATTTGCTTTTCCTATAACCCCAAATCACATTGTTTTCTTTGATAAAAAAGACTGAGTAGACATTTAAAATACATTCTTAAATTGAGCAGTCTTACCTAAGCAAGAGATCACAAAGAAAATTATATCCTTGCCATATCCGAAAATCATCCAGAAGTGTTTGGGAAACATCGCTGGAATCTTTGAGGAAACAAGAAAGCCCAGCAAACATTTCGACAATTTCTAGGGGAGACAGGTCATCTGATTGCTGCATATTCTGAACACATGTAGATAAACACTCTTTCTCTGTAAGAATAGATAATTAAATAAATATGCATTATTCCTGACAATCGCTTAAAAATTTTTTAATTGTTAACTGTTGTTTAATGAAACATTAAATTTTAACATATCTGTAAAATACTATGAGATAAATGTAACACATTCTAAAAGTCAATATAAGAGTCATATGCATTGGGAAAGCACTGCCTCTAGGTAGTAAACAAAGGATAATACAGAAATGTGTTGAAAAATAGTTGACATGTATGTACCTGTCATTTTTTCACATATTTTGATGTTTTATCATTAAACAAATGGCCACTGCCAAATGATATTTTTGATCTTTTATATTGATATAGTAACAAGATGAAAAAAGCAAAAAAACTATCTTCTAAGTTTAAGAAGAAAAATCTAGTAATTAGTTAAAACTTTAAGTTAGAGAGAATATATAGCCTGGCTAACATGGTGAAACCCTGTCTCTACTAAAAATACAAAAATTAGCTGGGTATGGTGGCACGCGCCTGTAGTCCCAGCTACTCGGGAGGCTGAGGTAGGAGAATCACTTGAACCCGGGAGGCAGAGATTGCAGTGAGCCAAGATCACGCCACTGCACTGCACTACAACCTGGGTGACAGAGCGAGACTGTCTCAAAATAAATAAATAAATAAATAAATAAATAAATAAATAAATTAGAGAGACTATAGACCAATGAGATACAGAAATACTTTAGGAAATACAATTTTTTAAATTTTATTTGTATAATATATTATTAGTTTAAAACACAGTTATATCTTATCCCTGACTCTGAGGATTTGTAGCATTTCAAGGAAGACTTTCACTTTCTTATCTTTGGTGGTATGTATTTGTATAAAGAAACTCACTGTTACATAACAAAAGCTAAGATTTAACAGAGGAATGGGAGGAAATGTGTATTTAATAACTGACTCATATATTAGGTACTAGCTTTCACATATGTCACTTAATAAATGTAAGTGAACAAATTGGTGTATTAATTATTTTGAAAGAGTTTCAGGACAGTAATATCAGGTAGTTCTCAACTTGATGATTTGACTTAAGATGTTTCTACTTTATGATGGTGTGAAAGCAACATGTATTCAATAGAAACTGTACTTTATGTAACCATATAAGCATTGTTTTCCACTTTCAGAACAGTATTCAGTACATTACATGAGGTATTTAATACTTTACTATAAAGTTGATTTTGTGTTAGATGATCTTACCCAACTATAGGCTAACATAAGTGTTCTAGCTACTTTCAGGGTAGGCTAGGCTAAGATATGATGTTCGGTA